>NW_003315938.1:0-120804 GCF_000001405.40 Homo sapiens | reverse complement strand
GATCCGGAATTCCTATTGATTTATTACTTTACTTTTTAATTTGTGTATCTTGCCTCTCACCTCCCATATAGGCCACACGAGGGTAAAGGCCTGGTCTAGCTTGTTCACAGCTGGAAGCCCAGTACCTTGAACAGTGCCTGGTATATGTTGGTTGATCCACCAGTACTCTTGAAAGAGTGAATGGCAGTCTGTACAATCATCTGGAGGAAAGGGCTCAGAGTCTGTTGGGGGTGGTTATTTAAAATGCGAATTCCTGTATTCCAACCTCAGAATCTGTTTTGGTAGTTTTAGATTGAAAAACAAAGTCCTAAAATGTGTGTTCCTTTCTTGATTGAATTTCTTGGATAATAGCTATGGGTTGAGGACTTCTTTTAGAAAGACAATCTTTCACAGAAATAGAATATATTTCACTTGGCTTATGAGTGAAAGTGGATCTTGAGGTAGCTCTCAAACCATGACACCACATCAGATTGCACTTCTGATCTACTGAAGCAATATTTCTGGGTATTAGTTCCAGGAATCACTATTCCTTACAAGATCTCCAGGTGCCGCTGGTAAGTATCCAATTTTGTGCAGCTCCAGAGTGTGAGGGACTCATGATCAAAACTGATGGGACACAAAGCAAGCATTGATGTGACTTCTCCATATGCATATAAATAAAAGCCTGTGAATAACATACCATATCTGATAGATGTATTTTTGGGGCAAGCAACAACAAACAACAAAATCTGATTAACAGTAGATTAAACAATAGGTGCTATTTTTGCCTCTCATTACAAGAATCTTGAGTTAGGTGTTTGCTGGCATCGGTTCAGTAGCTCTGCAGAGCCCTCAAGGATCCAGGTTATTTCTCCCTTTATCTTTCACCATCCTCACACGCTTGCTTTCTTCCTCATGCTTATAACTCCATGTTTGCGTAACACTGACACAGCTTCAGGCATCACATTCACATGCAAGGCAAGATGAAGAGTCAAGGGCTCTTCTCTTTATCTAGAAAGAAAAGTCTCTCTCAGGAGCTCACTCAGAATACTTTTTGTTTTTCCTTGGCCAGCACTTGGCATTTTACACTACAGGCAAGAAAGTCTGGGGACATGAGTAGACAGCTCTCCTTCTCCAGACTCCACAGTGGGAGGTGTCCAGTGAGAAGGGGATTGGAAATGATTTTTAAGGGGCCAAGGAAGAGCATTTACCACATGTACCTGTGGTGGGAACATTGCGTAGCCCAGATAATGTCCAAGAGGGAGACATCTACCCTCTTTTGCTCCATTCAGTCTTTGCTTTTTTAGGATTATTTTTTTCTTCACCAAGAGAATTTTCCCGAAGTGACTGATTCTTACTCCCAAACTCTTCATGTACTTTTGATGGCAACAACAATTTACTATATGCCAGACATTATCTATAAGATGTGTGATATGTGTGTGTGTGTGTGTGTGTGTGTGTGTGTGTATAATCTAAGTGAAACATAACCCATATGTCCCTTAAGCTACTTAAACCTTCCTTAGATAGTCAAATGGCCTCTTCTTTTGATTTAATATATGTAGTTCAACTTGGTCTGTGTCTGGAGAATGAATTCCATTTCTGATAATTGTTAGGGGTAAGGATATTAAGTATACCATGATTAAAGGATATGAGTGTCTACTATTTTGAACCATCAGAGAACAAAGAAAATAACAAAGAGGATAAAGAATAAAAACTTTCAGACCAGGCATGGTGGCTCATTTCTAGAATCCTAGCACTTTGGGAGGCCGAGGTTGGTGGATCATTTGAGGTCAGGAGTTCAAGACCAGCCTGGCCAACATGGTGAAACCCCATCTCTACTAAAAATACAAAAAAAAAAAATTAGCTGGGTAAGGTGGCAGGCACCTGTAGTCCCAGCTACTCGGGAGGCTGAGGAGGAGAATCGCTTGAACCTGGGAGGTGGAGGTTGCAGTGAGCCGAGATTGCACCATGGCACTCCAGCCTGGGTCGCAGAGCAAGACTCTGTCTCAAGAAAAAAAAAAAAAAAGAATACAAAATTTCAAAGAAGCATGGGACCATGAGTGGCTTTGGTCTTCTAGGAGTCTTGGGCATAAGCCATTTATCTCAAATTATCTTCTGCTTCTGAATCAAAACACTCGGTCATAGGCAAATGTCCAAGTGATGAAGACAATGGTATCTGATATGGTTTGGCTGTGTTCTCACCCAAATTTCATGTTGAATTGTAATCCCCACATGTCAGGGGTGGGAGGTGATTGTATCATGAGGACAGATTTCCCTCATCCTGTTCTCATGATAGTGAGTGAGTTCTCATGAGATCTGATGGTTTAAAAGGGTGGCACTTCCCGCTCACTCTCTTTCTCCTGCTCTGCCATGGTAAGATATGCTGACTTCCCCTTCTGCCACGATTGTAAGTTTCCTGAGGCCTCCCAGTCAGGCTTCCTGTTAAGGTTGTGGAACTGTGAATTAATTAAACCTCTTTTCTTAAGAAATTACCCAGTCTTTGGTAGTTCTTTATAGCAGTGTGAAAATGGACTAATACAGTATCCATATATTTATCTCGCTAGTATCAATGGTCCTTTACTGAGATTTTTTTAGCTATTTTCTTCTAGAAAACTCATTTTCTCAGTACCTCAGTCAGTACTCTTAAAGGTGGATGTTTTGGCAACAAGAAAGAGAAACTCCATCAGAAGTACCAAGAAAAAGCTCTGAGCTCATTTTCTGTGTACTTAAGGTCAGAACTACATCAGAGCAAACACACACTGCCTATTTGAATACACAACATAAAAGAAGGGCAATCCATCATTCATTAAGTTCCCCTCAAACACACTTGCACCTGCAGATTTCCTGGAGGTTCTTTTTTTTTTCTCTTCCTTAGGGGGAGGGTCTTGAAGTACCAGGACTCTCAAGCACCTGGAGGCCAACAACTGCAGATGTCTGCCTGAAGGCAAAGATTTGATCAGGTTTATGAAACCAGCATGGTATGCCCTAAAAAAACAATGATCTACAGAGATTATAAAGCTTGAAGTGTTTTTAATCCTGAAGATATGCAAACTATATGCCTACAAAAGATTTGGGAGATTCTGCAACAAAAATATAGAATGATTTTCAAATGCATCCTATCAAGAAGTAGAATTTTGGTTGACATTAAGGGTTTTGTGTGTGATAGCACTTCATTTTATGTTGTGTGAATATAGTAAGAGAATCTATGATAATTGCAAATGTGTCTTCAGTAGAGAAGAAAAGAAGGTTCTTTATGGCCACATGTTCAGAATCTGTATTATTGTTAATAGCCCAAATTTGGACTCTGAATTTTCCCCAGAATTTAAACTATCAGGTTTTTAAAGTAAAAATATATCATTATTTACTTCAATAACATCTCTAAAAATGTCTTGGCTACCTAAAATATATCAAGATTTAGACTTAGTCAGAACTATTAAGTAAATTTCCTTTGATTAATAAATTGTTTTCCATTTAAAACAAAAGAGGAAAGCAAAACTGTTTTCTTAGAATCAGCCAAGATGTTTGTCTTAAAACCTGTTGGCTTTGCCTATCCCTAATTGTTCCTTTCTGATTCACATTAGAAGCCTATACTGTTGCTAACAAACCTGACCATTTTGGCAAATTACTACAGTTGCACTGCTCCAAGTTAGACTCTATGGTATTGTGTAAAAATTGAGCATTTAGTGGCTTAGTCACACCACAAAATTGCAAAAGTTCTTAAGTCTAGGTCAACTTGAACAAGTTTGTTCTTGATTTACATGCCACCTCCAAAAATATGTCAGGGTATTTATTTGCTTTCAGAATAGCTTGCATCTCTCTTTCAGAGGAGAGGTGAGGCAAACATAGGTTGTGATGATGAGTGATTGCCCCCACACGTGCAACTATGAGAGCGCTTTTTTGGATTTGGGTAACACCAATTTTAAATATTTAACCCTTGCGATCACTTACTATTTACCAATACCATCTTCTCAGCTTTGTTCTAAATTATTTTCTTAATTTTTTTTAAGGCCAAGAGCCAGGAGGTCAAACCTTCTGCCCCTCTGACCAGCTGCATGCAGGCAATTAGAGCAATACCACTTTTAAACACAGGTTTGAGCACTACAAGTGTAATTCTCAGACTTATCTGTATCCGAGGGTTATCCTCAAGAATCTCTTGACTCATACTCTAAGATTCTCAGAAATATTTACTGGAAAAAAAATCCAAACTCTGAGCAGCTATCACATAATCTCTTTCATCTGCTGAAGCCGCCATGTTGTTCATAGCGGTAGGGAGACACAGCAGAAAACTGGTCCATCGTTATTTATGTTATTCACTTTCAGGAGAACTAAGGCATCTCACAATGGAACAGTCCAATTCTATTTTTACTGATTTCTGAATGCTGCTTCAGACAGGTTTTTTTTTTTTTTTCTACTGCTGTTGTTAGTGCTTTCAGTTAACTTCAGAGAATGAATACATATCTATCCAACCAGTAAAGCGACATATTCAGAAAGGATCCTATTTTTGTTTAAGGGCTTGCTATATTCTTTCAGATTTATCCATAAGCTTATAATAGGACCTGGAAACACAGGCAAAGATGTGAATTGAGATGATTAAATAATGTTTTCAGGCTGTCTTTCCTCCTCTAGCTGGATTGATCGGGTGCTGTCGTTCTGTGCGTTAGAGTAAGGCTGACATTCGCTCCTGCATTGTGCCTTGTGTTGGGCAGAACTGAGACTCGTGGGTGGAGGGCAG
The DNA here is from genome assembly GCF_000001405.40 of Homo sapiens. Classification (NCBI taxonomy): domain Eukaryota; kingdom Metazoa; phylum Chordata; class Mammalia; order Primates; family Hominidae; genus Homo; species Homo sapiens. Next base: position 116,093 of record NW_003315938.1, on the reverse strand, counting down.
TGGGGATGAGCTGATTGGACCACTTTTAGGCCAAGTAAGAGAGAACACATATACTTGTGTTACAGGAAAGGTGTTCGATCCATACCCCAAGAGAGGGCTCATACTCCAAGAAAGAATTCAGGATGAGTCCACAGTGCAAAGCAAAGGCAAGTTCATTAGGAAAGTAGAGGAATAAAAGAATCGCTACTCCACAGGGCAGCCTGAGGGCTGCTGGTTGCTCATTTTATGGTTATTTCTTTTGCTGAACAAGGGGTGGATTATTAATACCTCCCCTTTTTAGACCATATAGGGTACTTCCGGATCTTGCCGTGGCATTTGTAAACTGTCATGGTACTGGTGGGAGTGTAGCAGTGAGGACAGAGGACACTCTCGTGGCCATGTTGGTTTTGGTAGGCTTTGGCTGGCTTCTTTACTGCAGCCTGTTTTATCAGCAAGGTCTTTATGACCTGTATCTTGTGCTGACCTCCTATCTCATCTATGATTTAGAATGCCTTCACCACCTGGGAATGCAGCCCAGTAGGTCTCAGCCTCATTTTACCCAGCTCCTATTCAAGATGGAGTTGCTCTGGTTCAGACACCTCTGACACTGGTTCACCTGCAGAGAGGATGTTGAGGAATAAGTTTCATGTACAACTCACCCTTATTCAGAGCTGTTTCATATCAATCCTGAAAAAGGAATTTAGCAAAATTAAGAGTTAACTGCCTATAACCAGTTCAAGCCGTAAGTGGATTGAGTGCTCTCTAAGAATAGACAAAAGCTTTTTTTTTTCCTGAACAATTGATTATTGAGCAACCAGAAATAAAATGTTGTCAAGCTAGCCTTGAATAGGAGACTAAAGAAGTTCTAACCAGGATTTCAGAAAAAAATGTCTTTTTATTTTTAAGTGTGAGCAATGGCAAGACCAAGTAACTCTGTTATGGACTCAGCTGCTCCCAAAGTCACAGGGATCTATTGATAACCACCCAATCCCTCATGCCCCAGGCCACCAGAATCTAGTCTCCCCACTTTAGTTTAGCCTCCGTTTTTCTGCCAGAGTTATCTTTCTAAAATTCCAGTCGAACCATGTTTTCTGCTTGAAAGTATTTGATGGGTGTCCATTCACATAGAAGACAAAGTCAATCCCTGCAGCTTGGCATTCGAGGCCTTTCCTCATCTGGATCCTGTCGAAATTTCCAGCCTCTTTTATCCTGATCCAGCTTACTCTCAGCCACATGACGCTTTTCACTATCTCTTGAGCAGACCCACTCTTGTGTGTGGTCCCCTCCATGTGGAATGCCCTCTTTCTACCAAGGTCTACATATCTCACACAACTCCTCCAGAGGGTTTTTCCCTTGTCTTAGCTCTTCCCATTTCTACTCAGAAAGAAAAAAAAAATCAGTGCTCCCATCCTGAACTTGTTGCATTCTGATAGATAATTATGTTCTCACCAGTATGTCCTACCAGGCTGTGAACTGAGTTCCTTGATGGAAAGGATAATGTATTACTCAACTTTATCCCCACAGTTTCTTGTGGAGATGTGGCATATAACACACAGTTAATAATTACTGACTTTTATTGAATTGTAGAAACAGCAGGTTTGGGCAGGATATAATGCAAATGTTGAGTGATAACAGTTTTAAAATATTTATTTATTTTTGGTTCCCATTACTTATTCCGCTAGAATAGCACTGTCCAATAGAAATATAACGTAAGCTACAGATGCAAATCACAGATGTGATTTTAAATTTTCTAGTAGTCAATCTTTACTTTTATTTCATCCCATAATCTCTCCAATCTTCTATTTTGAGGATTTTTTTGGTGTTTTTAACTGTTTATTATATTTTATTAATTATTTCAAATATACTTATTTCATAGTATCATCTGATAGGATTACTTGTTGAAATTCTTAATTGTCTAATTCTGCTGACTTTTGCTTACACTGTTTCAGAATTTGGGGATTGTGAGCTTCTTTTCAGCATACCTTTAGCTGTGGGAATCCTGTGAAGTTTCAGGGAGGATTTGATTTACTTCTACCAATGACCCATTTTATTGTTAATTTCTTAGCTTTCAGTAGTCTCACTTAAAAATAATGCAAATTTAAAAATCGATTGTATGTCAGCATAGACCCATGACTAAACATTTTCTTTACCCTGTATTCAGTGGTTTACAGTAAGTTAGCCTGTTAGGGTGAGGGGCACTGTATTGATAAACTGTAAAAAATTGTGTATTCTCTTTCTTTTTTTTAAAATTTACTTATTTTATTTTATTTATTTATTTATTATTATTATACTTTAAGTTTTAGGGTACATGTGCACAATGTGCAGGTTAGTTACATATATATATATACATGTGCCATGCTGGTGTGCTGTACCCACTAACTCGTCATCTAGCATTAGGTATATCTCCCAATGCTATCCCTCCCCCCTACCCCCACCCCACAACAGTCCCCAGAATGTGATGTTCCCCTTCCTGTGTCCATGTGTTCTCATTGTTCAATTCCCACCTATGAGTGAGAATATGCGGTGTTTGGTTTTTTGTTCTTGCGATAGTTTACTGAGAATGATGATTTCCAATTTCATCCATGTCCCTACAAAGGACATGAACTCATCATTTTTTATGGCTGCATAGTATTCCATGGTGTATATGTGCCACATTTTCTTAATCCAGTCTATCATTGTTGGACATTTGGGTTGGTTCCAAGTCTTTGCTATTGTGAATAATGCTGCAATAAACATACGTGTGCATGTGTCTTTATAGCAGCATGATTTATAGTCCTTTGGGTATATACCCAGTAATGGGTATATACCCAGTAATGGGATGGCTGGGTTAAATGGTATTTCTAGTTCTAGATCCCTGAGGAATCGCCACACTGACTTCCACAATGGTTGAACTAGTTTACAGTCCCACCAACAGTGTAAAAGTGTTCCTATTTCTCCACATCCTCTCCAGCACCTGTTGTTTCCTGACTTTTTAATGATTGCCATTCTAACTGGTGTGAGATGATATCTCATTGCGGTTTTGATTTGCATTTCTCTGATGGCCAGTGATGGTGAGCATTTTTTCATGTGTTTTTTGGCTGCATAAATGTCTTCTTTTGAGAAGTGTCTGTTCATGTCCTTTGCCCAGTTTTTGATGAGGTTGTTTGTTTTTTTCTTGTAAATTTGTTTGAGTTCATTGTAGATTCTGGTTATTAGCCCTTTGTCAGATGAGTAGGTTGCAAAAACTTTCTCCCATTTTGTAGGTTGCCTGTTCACTCTGATGGTAGTTTCTTTCGCTGTGCAGAAGCTCTTTAGTTGAATTAGATCCCATTTGTCAATTTTGGCTTTTGTGGCCATTGCTTTTGGTGTTTTAGACATGAAGTCCTTGCCCATGCCTATGTCCTGAATGGTAATGCCTAGGTTTTCTTCTAGGGTTTTTATGGTTTTAGGTCTAACGTGTAAGTCTTTAATCCATCTTGAATTAATTTTTGTATAAGGTGTAAGGAAGGGATCCAGTTTCAGCTTTCTACATATGGCTAGCCAGTTTTCCCAGCACCATTTATTAAATAGGGAATCCTTTCCCCATTGCTTGTTTTTGTCAGGTTTGTCAAAGATCAGATAGTTGTAGATATGCAGCGTTATTTCTGAGGGCTCTGTTCTGTCCCATTGATCTATATCTCTGTTTTGGTACCAGTACCATGATGTTTTGGTTACTGTAGCCTTGTAGTATAGTTTGAAGTCAGGTAGTGTGATGCTTCCAGCTTTGCTCTTTTGGCTTAGGATTGACTTGGCGATGCAGGCTCTTTTTTGGTTCCATATGAACTTTAAAGTAGTTTTTTCCAATACTGTGAAGAAAGTCATTGGTAGCTTGATGGCGATGGCATTGAATCTGTAAATTACCTTGGGCAGTATGGCCATTTTCACGATATTGATTCTTCCTACCCATGAGCATGGAATGTTCTTCCATTTGTTTGTATCCTCTTTTATTTCCTTGAGCAGTGGTTTGTAGTTCTCCTTGAAGAGGTCCTTCACATCCCTTGTAAGTTGGACTCCTAGGTATTTTATTCTCTTTGAAGCAATTGTGAATGGGAGTTCAGTCATGGTTTGGCTCTCTGTTTGTCTGTTGTTGGTGTATAAGAATGCTTGTGATTTTTGTACATTGATTTTGTATCCTGAGACTTTGCTGAAGTTGCTTATCAGCTTAAGGAGATTTTGGGTTGAGACAGTGGGGTTTTCTAGATATATAATCATGTCGTCTGCAAACAGGGACAATTTGACTTCCTTTTTTCCTAATTGAATACCCTTTATTTCCTTCTCCTGCCTGATTGCCCTGGCCAGAACTTCCAACACTATGTTGAATAGGAGCGGTGAGAGAGGACATCCCTGTCTTGTGCCAGTTTTCAAAGGGAATGCTTCCAGTTTTTGCCCATTCAGTATGATATTGGCTGTGGGTTTGTCATAGATAGCTCTTATTATTTTGAGCTACATCCCATCAATACCTAATTTATTGAGAGTTTCTAGCATGAAGGGTTGTTGAATTTTGTCAAAGGCCTTTTCTGCATCTGTTGAGATAATCATGTGGTTTTTGTCTTTGGTTCTGTTTATATGCTGGATTACATTTATTGATTTGTGTATATTGAACCAGCCTTGCATCCCAGGGATGAAGCCCACTTGATCATGGTGGATAAACTTTTTGATGTGCTGCTGGATTCGGTTTGCCAGTACTTTATTGAGGATTTTTGCATCAATGTTCATCAAGGATATTGGTCTAAAATTCTCTTTTTTTGTTGTGTCTCTGCCTGGCTTTGGTATCAGGATGATGCTGGCCTCATAAAATGAGTTAGGGAGGATTCCCTCGTTTTCTATTGATTGGAATAGTTTCAGAAGGAATGGTACCAGTTCCTCCTTGTACCTCTGGTAGAATTCGGCTGTGAATCCATCCGGTCCTGGACTCTTTTTGGTTGGTAAGCTATTGATTATTGCCACAATTTCAGCTCCTGTTACTGGTCTATTCAGAGATTCAACTTCTTCCTGGTTTAGTCTTGGGAGAGTATATGTGTCGAGGAATTTATCCATTTCTTCTAGATTTTCTAGTTTATTTGCATAGAGTTGTTTGTAGTATTCTCTGATGGTAGTTTGTATTTCTGTAGGATCGGTAGTGATAGCCCCTTTATCATTTTTTATTGCGTCTACTTGATTCTTCTCTCTTTTTTTCTTTATTAGTCTTGCTAGTGGTCTATCAATTTTGTTGATCCTTTCAAAAAACTAGCTCCTGGATTCGTTAATTTTTTGAAGGGTTTTTTTGTGTCTCTATTTCCTTCAGTTCTGCTCTGATTTTAGTTATTTCTTGCCTTCTGCTAGCTTTTGAATGTGTTTGCTGTTGCTTTTCTAGTTCTTTTAATTGTGATGTTAGGGTGTCAATTTTGGATCTTTCCTGCTTTCTCTTGTGGGCATTTAGTGCTATAAATTTCCCTCTACACACTGCTTTGAATACGTCCCAGAGATTCTGGTATGTTGTGTCTTTGTTCTCATTGGTTTCAAAGAACATCTTTATTTCTGCCTTCATTTTGTTATGTACCTAGTAGTCATTCAGGAGCAGGTTGTTCAGTTTCCATGTAGTTGAGCAGTTTTGAGTGAGATTCTTAATCCTGAGTTCTAGTTTGATTGCACTGTGGTCTGAGAGATAGTTTGTTATAATTTCTGTTCTTTTACATTTGCTGAGGAGAGCTTTACTTCCAAGTATGTGGTCAATTTTGGAATAGGTGTGGTGTGGTGCTGAAAAAATGTATATTCTGTTGATTCGGGGTGGAGAGTTCTGTAGAAGTCTATTAGGTCCGCTTGGTGCAGAGCTGAGTTCAATTCTTGGGTATCCTTGTTGACTTTCTGTCTCGTTGATCTGTCTAATGTTGACAGTGGGGTGTTAAACTCTCCCATTATTATTGTATGGGAGTCTAAGTCTCTTTGTAGGTCACTCAGGACTTGCTTTATGAATCTGGGTGCTCCTGTATTGGGTGCATATATATTTAGGATAGTTAGCTCTTCTTGTTGAATTGATCCCTTTACCAGTAAGTAATGGCCTTCTTTGTCTCTTTTGATCTTTGTTGGTTTAAAGTCTGTTTTATCAGAGACTAGGATTGAAACCCCTGCCTTTTTTTTGTTTTCCATTTGCTTGGTAGATCTTCCTCCATCCTTTTATTTTGAGCCTATGTGTGTCTCTGCACGTGAGATGGGTTTCCTGAATACAGCACACTGATGGGTCTTGACTCTTTATTCAATTTGCCAGTCTGTGTCTTTTAATTGGAGCATTTAGTCCATTTACATTTAAAGTTAATATTGTTATGTGTGAATTTGATCCTGTCATTATGATGTTAGCTGGTTATTTTGCTCATTAGTTGATGCAGTTTATTCCTAGTTTCGATGGTCTTTACATTTTGGCATGATTTTGCAGCGGCTGGTACTGGTTGTTCCTTTCCATGTTTAGCGCTTCCTTCAGGAGCTCTTTTAAGGCAGGCCTGGTGGTGACAAAATCTCTCAGCATTTGCTTGTCTGTAAAATATTTTATTTCTCCTTCACTTATGAAGCTTAGTTTGGCTGGATATGAAATTCTGGGTTGAAAATTCTTTTCTTTAAGAATGTTGAATATTGGCCCCCACTCTCTTCTGGCTTGTAGAGTTTCTGCTGAGAGATCTGCTGTTAGTCTGATGGGCTTCCCTTTGAGGGTAACCCGACCTTTCTCTCTGGCTGCCCTTAACATTTTTTCCTTCATTTCAACTTTGGTGAATCTGACAATTATGTGTCTTGGAGTTGCTCTTCTCGAGGAGTATCTTTGTGGCGTTCTCTGTATTTCCTGAATCTGAATGTTGGCCTGCCTTGCTAGATTGGGGAAGTTCTCCTGGATAATATCCTGCAGAGTGTTTTCCAACTTGGTTCCATTCTCCCCGTCACTTTCAGGTACACCAATCAGACTTAGATTTGGTCTTTTCACATAGTCCCGTGTTTCTTGGAGGCTTTGCTCATTTCTTTTTATTCTTTTTTCTCTAAACTTCCCTTCTCGCTTCATTTCATTCATTTCATCTTCCATTGCTGATACCCTTTCTTCCCGTTGATCTCATCGGCTCCTGAGGCTTCTGCATTCTTCACGTAGTTCTCGAGCCTTGGTTTTCAGCTCCATCAGCTCCTTTAAGCACTTCTCTGTATTGGTTATTCTAGTTATATATTCTTCTAATTTTTTTTTAAAGTTTTCAACTTCTTTGCCTTTGGTTTGAATTTCCTCCCGTAGCTTGGAGTAATTTGATCGTCCGAAGCCTTCTTCTCTCAGCTCGTCAAAGTCATTCTCCGTCCAGCTTTGTTCCATTGCTGGTGAGGAACTGCGTTCCTCAGATGGAAATGCAGAAATCACCCGTCTTCTGCGTTGCTCACGCTGGGAGCTGTAGACGGGAGCTGTTCCTATTCGGCCATCTTGGCTCCTCCCCCTCCCTTTTTTTTTTTAAAATAGGTTGGTTACTTAAGAATTCTGGATGGTAACAGAAAATAAGATGTATAAAGATTAAAGTACTATAAATGTATTAATAAAAAAACTTTCTAATAGTCACATTAAAAATAAAAAGAAACAAGTAGAATTAATTTTAATAATATAGTTTGTTTAACTTAATATGCCCCAAATATTATTATTTCAACATGGCCTTAACATAAAAAATGATTTAGGATATTTTACCTTTTTTTTTTCTTTTACAGTCTTTGAAATCTGGTATGTATCTTTCACATCTCAATTCAGACAAGCCATATGCCAAGCACTCAGCAGCCTTGCATGGCTGATAGCTAGAGCTGTGAAGAGCACAGCTCTGGAGATTTGTACCTCCATTCAGGACATTCCTGGGTGCTCTATAATAACTGCTTCAAGGGACGGATGACAAACCGAGAGGACCAAGGCTCTTTTGCTGGCTTTTGAGTTTCAAAATCCCAGGCCCTCTGTGGGGAAAGAAAGCCTCATTCAGAGGAAACAGACTTGGTAGAAACCTTATGATGGCTTCCTGTGGCATCTTCCCACCCCACCCTGCCCCTAAATGAACACAACTAAGTGCCTCCAGTGATGCATACAAGTGCACAAGTACATACGCAAGCAAAGATCCCCTAAACCAGGGAGTGGGGAGCATTTAAGGGGAAGCAGGAGGTGAACAAACAATGTGATCCTGGAGGAAGAAGGGTTCATGCTTCTCTCTCTCTCTCTCTCTCTCTCTCTCTGTCTCTCTGTCTCTCCCTCTCTCAGGTTCAGAGTAGGGGATAACTGAAATCCAAGCTGGCTTTGGATTTGAAGATTTGAGAGCAATGAAGGCCTGGGTCCCCTTTCTCAGGAGGAACTTAAGGAGTGGGCAAGTAGAAGGCTCTATGAAGTATGTCCACGCTGATGGACTTGAGATGACCTCACAGAATTTCCACATGTCCTGGAGCCTTATAATCACTCCTGTACACCCAGATGGCCTGTTGATCGTCTCATTTGGGTTTCCCTTTCTTTTGTAAGAGAAGCAAAAGGATCCCATGTGCCAGAAGAGAGAGAAAAGTACAGATAAAAAACAGAGAGAGAGACAGACAGGCAGGTAAACGGACAGATAAATACGCAGACATGGAGAGCCTGTGGTGGACAGTGACCTATATTGACATGGGGTCAGAGACGAGACAGAAGCAAGACAGCTGAATACATGTCACCATGGATAGGTGACGACTCTAAGAGGACATACCTCTCAGGCTCTGGCACCACATAAACTCTTCTGGAAATTATACACAACTCCAGGGAGAGGGAGGGTGGCAGGGATAAATTGACTGGGCTTAAGTTTCTTCTACCTGAAGCATGAGGACTTATATAATAAAAATTAAGTTCTGGCTGGATATGTTGGCTCATACCTGTAATCCCAGCACTTGGGGAGCCTGAGGCAGGCAGATCGCTTGAGCTCAGGAGTTTGAGACCAGCTCGGGCAATATGGCGAAACCTTGTCTCTACAAAATACAAAAATTAGCTAGGCGTGGTTGTTCGTGCCTGTAGTCCCGGCTACTCAGGAGGCTGAGGTGGGAGGAGCACTTCAGCCTGGGAGGTCGAGGCTGCAGTGAGCTGAGATCTCACCACTGCACTCCAGCTTGGGCAACAGAGTGAGACCCTATCTCAAAAAAAAAAAAAAAGAAATTAAGTTCAATTATAGAAAAACAAAGGAAGTTACATCTCTTACACAGCGGATTTTGTGGACAGAGATTCCAACATCCAAAGAATATTTTGGGTTCCCAGTGACTTCCATGTCTATTTTTAATGGTACTTAGACAATAGTCTTACCATCATCCTTAAATTTATTTTATTTAGGAAGGTACTAAAGTCACAGAAAGAATTTGAAAATATTTTCAATTGTACATTATAATTAATTATAATTAAATTCTTACTAGATTCAGATAATCTAAAAATTTTAAGACACAGACTTCCTCATGTAGTCAAGGAATGGATGGAACCTGAAAAACAGATGGTGCTGATTGTTGAGAAATGTAGGGTCAGCGAATTTAAGAATTCCCTGTTTCTAGTAACCTAGAGAAGTGATAGTCATGAGCAGATACCATCTTTCTACACGGGATTAGTGTGCCCTGTTACTCTTGCTACCTTGCTCTAGGAGTTATCAGAAAGAGAAGAGAGTAAAATCTAACCTGTATAAAAAGATGTGGACTCTGGTAGATTTCTTAAAAGGAAGGAACTAGAGATCATAGGGACTAAATTCAGGTGAAATAGGTTGGTGCCCTTTGCTGATCCAATAAGAAAAGATTCTGTCATTTGTCTAACCATTGTGGGTGGCTGGAAGTTATGGGGATAGAGAGAAATGCAGGTAAACTAAGTCTAGATTAAGGACAGAATATATTTAAGAACCAAGATTTGATGAGGCGAGACACAAACACAAAAGTTACTTAACTGTTAGCTTCAAAAAGGTTTGCATCATATATATTTGACATCCTCTCCTCTTCTAAAACTGAGAGGAGAAATAATGAAAAGCTCACCGGTTGCAGAATCAAGATCTTTAACCCACCACCTCTGGAAAAACCTCGCTTCTCGTCATGCTAGGAGTCTGTCTGACCCAATTAGTCAAGAGAAAATAGATTCAGAACTTTCCCAGCAGCTCAGAGGAGTACAAGGGAATCTGCAGGGAGGTGATAAAATGAGAACATTCTCAGAAAACTTACCTCAAATGACATGACTTCTCTGCAAGTTAAATATATTGAAATTTTAAAAAGGAGCTAGGAAAAAAAAAAAAGAGACCCAATTACCAAGAAAAGAGTTGTCCCTAAATAATGGGGGTGTGCATTGCCTCCCAGGGCCATTTGCTCATTTCTACCATCTCCCCAAGGGAAGCCATGTTCCCCCACTCTGTAACAGCATCGGGGGCTGTTAAAGCCTCCTTCTTCGTTTTTCTTTAGATGAGATAAAGGAGAGAGAACGTAAATGTTCACTTGTGGGATGGGACAGAGGAGTGCAGAATAGTAGGCAGGCATTTTTACTTTCCTGTGAGAAATCTTTCAAGAGATCTAGTTTTCATGATTACTGCTTGTGTGGGAATTACAGATGCTCTTTGTTGTCTCGTTTCTTAAAAGGTGAAACAATAACTTCCCTCAGAGGTCTTTTAAGAGCTAGCGGAAGAAAGTTTGGGAGCTAAAATCAACAAAAGCACAGAACATTCCAGAAGACATGACCATGTCAACGTCTTCTCCTTGGAATCCAGTTGAGTTTTATATTAGCCGTAGCAGCAATGGTATTAGCACTGGTAGCAGTAGTAATAAGTGAAGTATTGAATATTTGTTAAGACTTTATTATGTGTCAGGTATTGTAGCAAGCACTTTAATTATATGTTGACAAACTATAGTTGTATATACAATTTATATCAATTATATATATAATTGTATATATAAGTGATGTTATAATTTTTGAATGCAATGTGAAGTGATTAAATCAAACTAATTAACCTTTCCATGACCTCAAGTACTTGACATTTTTTTGTGATGAGATTTGAGATTTACTCTTAGTGTTATTGAAATAGACAGTGCCCAATTATTAGTTATATTCACTATGCTGTGCAATAGTTCTCAAAAAAATTGAACTTATTCCTCCTAGCTAAAGGCTTTATACCCTTTGGGTATAATCTCCCATTCTCTCCACCCTCAGCATCTGGAAACTACCATTCTGTTCTCTGCTTGTGTGGGTTGATTGTTTTAGATTCCATACATAAGTGAGAACAGGTGGTATTTGTTTGTCTTTGGCTAATTTCATTTAGCGTAATTGCGACAACATGGATGGAATTGTAGCAAGCACCTAACCTGGAGTTTCTAATTTAATTTTTCATTATAACTATTATTTTTACTATTATTCCAATTTTAGAGATGAAGAGACTGAGGCTTCAGGGCTTAAATAACTTTGCCAAGGTCACATAGCAAGTGGCAGAGCCAGGAGTCAGGCCTTGAACTCTGTTGTCATTTATCCTAACATGCAATTTTATTTTAATACTGAGGGCCTACTACAGCCAGGACTGGACACATAATTTGCAAGGCCTGTTGCAAGATAAAAATGTGGAGTGTGGAATAGTAGGCAGGCATTTTTACTTCCCTGTGGGAAATCTTTCAAGAGATCTAGTTTTCATGATTACTGCTTGTGTGGGAATTGCAAATGCTCTTTGTTGTCTCTTGTTTCTTAAAAGGTGGGGAAGAAATTATTAAGAAAGTCAAGATGGTGGCAGCAGAGCATTAAACCAAAGGTGGAGCCCCACATGTCTGGCGGTGTGGGTCACATGCCCATGAAGCTGGCCCTGGCTACATAAGGGGCCATTTGTATCCTCTAACTTTTGGGGATACAAATGTTGATGATACATAGTTCATGTCTTTAAGGTCCTACAGTCTAGTCAGGAAAACGGACTTATAAGGAGGATGTTTCTGTGTGAAGTGGTAAGATAAGGCCACCAAAGTCAGAGACAGAGCAACTACCACCCAGTCTGGGGTTTCTGGAAATGCTTAGTAATTCTGAATGGAATAACGGAATGACCTCTCTTAGTTAGTCCTTTTTTCTCCCCCACTCTTTTCTCTCTTTCTCTGCTTAAACAAAACACGACAAAGGAGACTGAGAGATGAGACAAATGCCAGCCTTACTCCTGATAAGCTGGTAGGAGAATGTGGCTTCGGATATGTGGCTAAATGGGCTTGCTCCCACCCCTGAATGAGACAGGTGGCTGCCTAGCCCCAAGTGCGGTGGGCAGTTTGGAAGCCTGCAGGCTGCCAGGGTAGGGGGACCTGCCCCACTTAGCCAATGCACAATGAAGAGCAGAACAGATCCTCTCTGTAGGCAGCAGATCCAACAGGAGAAGCTTGCAGGGTTTGGGAGCAGAAGTGTGGGTAAGCAGGGAAGCTGTTGGGAATGGTGTCCACTGAGGGTTCTCTATATGGAATCACAAGGAGGACAAAAAAAGGTCTCCCCTAGCAGGGCTTATGATTTTTATTTTAGATAGATTGGCTCACATTTTAATCTGAGTACCAGACCTTCACATTCTGGCCTTTTGCAAGACCACTGAGCAGGTTGAAAATGGCCTTTTACTAAATCCAATGATCTTTCTTGTAATTATATAATGATTTGTGAAGAACAAGAAGAGGGCCTATCATCAGAGTATCATTCTCCCAATTTTTCAGTCCCCAGGGAGTATGGAAAAATTTTCTTCTCTCTGGGTAGTTGAAAGCTTTTTATTTATGCATCTAAAGGCAAAAGGTTCCATTTTAATGTTCTGGGTTAGATTAGAGAATAACAAATTAAATTAGAAGATTAGAGAATCTACAATGCAGATGTTGATGAGTTCATGTAAGAGAGGGAGGTCAGGGTTTATAATATTTATGACATTTAAAATCTCATGTCAAGACCAAGGAAAATGAATGATTACATTTATCAGCCTTCTTTGAAGCCACCATTTTGGATTTTCAATAGTTTCTAATTTTACTCTCAGTCTGTACCCTATGTCCATTCTCCCAGTGGATCTCCCTCTTGGCCCTTTCATCCCCACCTTGTGAGCACCTGCAGTTGGCAGCACCTTTCCTTGGGAAAGCACAACCAAGTTTGAGGCCTGTTCTGGCCTGTGTATCAGCAAGCTGAAGGTTGGTAAAATAAACTTATAAACCCACAGACCTGTTTTAGCAATACATCTAAAAAATACATTTACAGTATTCACTGACCCTCCCATGTTGTATTTTGCAGTTAGAGCTGAGCATTTTTTCTGTTTAAGTTTACAGCATCATTAAAAAGAGACAGGGTGAACCTACAATGAGAACAGTGTTTCATTTTAATATTATCTTGAAATGTAACACATTATAAAATTTGTACAGACTAAGGTGTTGTTTTATATATTTTTACACCAGATCGTGAGCCCATGTCTGAGCTCCAGTCATAAGACATATGAACAATCTTAGAAGAGCCACCTTTCCTTGCCCAGGTGCAGGAACACTAAGGTGGCCATGGACATTTGGACATTTGAGCTGAATAGAGCACCTGCATAAATGCCCATGGGGCATTATTTACTCTTGCTTACTCTTCATCCACCTGCCACACACCCTTCTCTCTCCAGAGTTCTCTGTGTTCTGTGGTGTCTTTCTCTTTGGACAGGCCAAAAGATCACACAGGACAACGCAATGCCATTTACCTTGGACTCTGTAGTCTTCATGTTTTCCCAACTTGAATGTTTCTCCTTGATGGCAGCAACTGGATCCTACATTGTCCTATAACTCTCAGAACATATACCACAAACCTAAGCATAAAATTCAGTAAGTGTTCAGTAAATATTTACTCACTAGAGAACAAAGGTTTTTTTTCTAAAAAAAAAAAAAAAAAAAAGAAAAGAAAACAACCCAGGGAACAAAATCTCTAATGGTGAAATTTCAGTTACTTTGACAGGAATATGCAAGATATTTTGGAAAAGAGCACCTTTTTTTTTTCACTTCCAGTCGTATCTGTAGTGTTCTTATAGAGTGCAGACCTCCAGAAGCTTCTGAGAACTACATCCAAGGATGTCTGCTGGGGCTATGAAAGCTCAAGCCTTCTTATTGCAATGGTGGTAGCTAATATGAGGCCTAAATATTGGGTGAAAAATATGGAGGGGCTTCAGGCCTTCTAAAGGTATCCGAATTTCTTCTTTCATCTTTAAAATAAATACCTTCCCACCATTCAAAAATAAATAATTCTCTCAGAATCAGGAAGTTTGTGCATATTTATATCCTTATCCATGTAGGCTTCTGAAAAGGAGCAGAAATGTGATTCCTGTTTAATAGACGTATACACCCCATTGTCTAATTATGTGCATTAATACTTCTTGGAAAAAATGTGGTCTTTCATAACTAGTTTTATACCAGATTCTAAATATTTGTTGAAGTGTCATAGTTTCTTAATCCTAATTAGTATAATTGATTATTAGCAAATTTTTCCATTGTCAAGATATTATTTTTATTGCCAGCTAAAATTACTATTTTCATTTGCATCACAAAACTCTTAAGTGGTTTGGTAAAATATAAAAACATCACAAAACTTCCCTCGAGATGCACTAGATACATATTGGAATTATTTCTATTCCTCTGAGTAAAAGATGGAGAACTTGGCTGTTCTATTAATTCTTACCTCAGCATATTTTGTTGGACAAGGATAATTACCATAACATAAATTATTTTCCCCATTCTATAAGGGAGCAGTTTCTAGTACAGAGTTCATTCCAGAGATATTTCTGTTTTACAAAATGCATAGGAAATAGAGCCAGAGATCTTAGCAGATTCTAATACAGTATAGTAGCTAAAGAAAATAGTGATAATTGTGTTTTTCCATAATTTTTGCCGTCTTATTTGTCATTGTGTGAGGAAATGTTAATTAAAAGCCAGAATGGTTGAATTTATTAAAGTTTCCTTGTAGGTGAACAATGTTAATTAAAAAATGGAAAATAATTCTCTAAATTTTTAGTTATTTTTCATGGTTTCTAGGTTAAACTTCTAACTATAAGAAGTTCCCCATTTTGATTTATAGTTCTTCCTTGAAACTGGAACATATTCCAATTAGAAAGAAAAAAGTAGGTCAAGTTAGTTAAATAAGAATCAACAATGCCCAATTCAAAGTCTTGAGTCCAGTTTATCCTTCTGTGCCTCTTACGCCTATCATCCTTGTCCAGGACTCAACTGCATTACTTTGGATTATCTATTTCTTTGGTGCCCAGCCTGATATTGCATTGCACTTCCTCCCCCTGCTCTAGTCTCTTTCCACTGTGTTTTCCTGAAACCCATTTCAATATGTACCAAGATATAGAGATCTTTGTTTTTGCTTCTTAGCAATGTCCTGTGAGGTGCTTGCTTTGTTTTGTGAATGCCTTGGTGATCCCACTTAGAGGCTATGCTTCCAGGGCCTATGGCTACACGGATGCCCAGAGAAAACTGGGCATTCAGTTCTCTGGACAAGGAAAAAGGCAGAATGTGTGTGAGGGCCTGCAAGGGAAGTGTCTCAAAAGAGAGAATGAGACTCAACAGCTAGTGACCCAATGAGAGACTTGGGAAGACTTTTCTAATGAGGATCTTTGGAAAGAAATGCTGTGTACTGAGTGATGTAACATCCGTGCTCAGTCTTCTCAAGTTCTTAAGCACATTTTATTTGTTTAGCTGATGCTCTGTGTAGTAGTTTTTCTTTGGGAGAGAAGAATATGTGAATAAGTGCAGAATCTTACTTCAAGTCTGGCATGAGACAAGAAAATGTGAATAAGTGCAGAATCTTACTTCAAGTCTGGCCTGAGACATAGTGTCCCACTATGTCTCTCCTTTTGATCCCAGAAAATTTTTCAAAGAACAATCCACTGACTGTCTCTACTCCCTCACCTCTAGTTTGGTTGATACATTCTCTCTGTCAGTTTAATCCCTGCCTGTGGCTTAAACTACTACTAATAGGTGTAGATGATTCTCAAGGATGCCACCTAGTCCAATCTGCTCTCCAGAACTTTGAGCTTGTGTATCCGTTTCTACCTAGATGTTACAGAGTCCTGAACTTCATCTTGAAACTTCTAGGTTCATCATCAAAGTCAACATGTCAAATCTGCACTACTCATCTCCCTCTCCTTTCTCCTAAACCTACCCCTCTTTAGGCCTTCTCTATCTTAATGTTACCACTAGCTAT
This sequence comes from Homo sapiens, assembly GCF_000001405.40. Classification (NCBI taxonomy): domain Eukaryota; kingdom Metazoa; phylum Chordata; class Mammalia; order Primates; family Hominidae; genus Homo; species Homo sapiens. The sequence continues at coordinate 99,952 of NW_003315938.1, read as the reverse complement.
CAAGCATTCTAAAGTAGACATCATACTAGACTCTTTCTTCAATCATCCCACTCAGTCATCAAACCCTATTGAATTTACCCTCAATACCATAAGTTAGTCCCTGACAATTTCTCACTTAGAAAACTGCACAAAACATCACTCTATTTCTTAAAGATGATTTTGTGTTTGTATTCCTCATCAGTCTGTGAGTTCCCTGATAGTGAAGACTGTCTTGTTCACCTCTTTCTTTAGTTCTCTCTCTCTAGAGACTAGCACTTAATGTAGTTGATCAGTTATCTACTGCTATATAACAAGCCACCCCAACACGTGGAGGCTATAAACAATTTGCTCATGATTTGCAGGGCTTGTCTGATGGTTAGTCTCTGCACTACATGGTATTGGCTGAGCTCACTCATGCATCTGTGGTCAGTTGGCACACTGACTAGGGACTGGGCTGGTCTTATTTGGCTTCATGTACATGTCTGGCAGTTCCTGGGACTGTTGGCTGGGGTACCTTGGTTCTCTGCCACATGGCTTCTCAAGTTTAAGAATGCTTGCTTGGGCTTCTTGGCATGGCAGTCCCCAAGCAGCAAGAAGAGCAGAGCAGAAGCTGCAAAGTCTCTTGAGGTCTAGACTCAGAAGTTGTATGATATCACTTCCACTACATTTTCAAAGTCAAAGCGAGTGGCAAAGTCAGTCCAGATTCAATGGGTGGGGAAATAAAGTCTACCACCTGACGGGAGGAACAGAAAAGTCATACTGCAAAGGAGTGTGCACACAGGGAGGAATGATTCACTAGAGCCACACATTGTTTCTGGCACAGAGTTAAGCTTTATAAGGATACGCTTCATAAATGCCTGTAGAATAGACTGAATGGATGGCTGGGTGGATGGAAGGATGGATAAGAGGCAGTATGGCATGGTCACTAGGACACTGGATTAGGAATTCTAGTCCTGAGGCTGATTATCATAAATCATTTGACCCTGGGCAAGCCCCTGTACCTTTTACCCATGTTTCCTCACCTACAAAATAAAAGTAGAAGACTGGATGTGTTTATTTTATAGCTAAGGCTGTCCTTGAGCTACATTTTATGATTCTATAGCTATTAATCATATCATTATGTCACAGGTAACAAAAATCGCTTTCTTGACCTGACTTGATTCATCCATGGCTGCACATTGTTAAGGAAAAATCATGTTGGTGCTCATTTCATAGGAACATCCCAAATGGTGTTTCTATTGTTAGTCAGCCAGCTAGAAGCAAGCACATGCCCATAACAGGCATTCTCTCCACCTTTTTTTTTTTTTTTTGGTATCAATGGTTCCTTTGAAATGACTATCAAGACTTTCTATTTAACACTACTAAAAATATAATTCCTGCCCTGAAATACAATGTAGAATGTATGGGCTTCCTCTCCGTTTATCCCCCTTAATGGAGACAGTTTGGGAAATACTGTTGTGTACTTAGAAAAGATTAGGTTTGCTTAGAATTATACTTAACTTTGCAAAATATATTCTTTTAACTCTTTTCAACTTGGTCTCTGTTTGGTATAAATAAAACCTTTCAGCCTGTGAGTTTGCAAAGGCTTAATTGCCAGGTATTAAGTAAGTTATTTCCTTTGCACACTGAAAATAATATTTTGAAAATCTTTCAAACCCCTGAAAGGTCTTCAAATTATAGAGTAAGAAAGAGTTGAACTATATAAATATTGTTGGGGTTTTACTTTGCCATTTTCTTCTTTATTATGAAATAGTATAAAATGCTATTGGTTTTTCCAATTTTCTGTTCAATACCAATTTATACCATTCGTGGGAGGATGGATGAGGAGGATAGAAGACAGGGTTGATAATGGCCATAGGCGTTCAAGGTCATTTTATCTGATTTAGTAAATGCAGACAATTAGTCTTTTGATACCCTACCTGAACTAGTCTCTTCCTATATGATTTAAGGCTGGTTTTATTTAGATAGCATGTCTTTTAAAAGAGTCTACATGGAAAATGATGTTAATAAAACCTTAAAAGAGAGCCAGATACAACTAATTCTCATGTATTCTTACCTTGGTTAACTCCAAGGGCTGTGTTAAAATGAGCAATTTTGTTCTGAGAGTGGAATTGCTTATAAAATGAACAACTGAGTTATCTGACTCTTGCTTTTAGTAAATGACAAAACAGCTAAAAATACAAAGCATTACAATGGAGCAAGAAGGATTAAAGTACAGATCACATCCTGAAAGAAAAAGAGCTTGTGGGGGAGGAGGAGGGTGGTGGCATGGAAGGGAACGGAGAGGTGATGTCCCAGTGGAAGCAGATGATGCCATATCGTTCAGCAGCACATTAATACTAACAGCATATGCTGTGCTGAGGTAGTCACTGCTCGTACAAGTTTAAAATAAAAAGACATCATGGAGAAGTAATGCAGTAGAGTTTTGTGTAAGGGTGTTAGTTCTTTGGGAGAGAAGGGGAGATGAAGGTTGGAAGTGTAAAGGAGTTAGCTTTCATTAGCATTCAGATGGTTTTCTAGACATCTGATGTCTAGATGTCTAATTCCTAATACAGTGTTCTAGTGCTTAATTCCTTGAATAATGTCTTAGTATTATGTATAGCTTACTTATTACACGGCAATCTTTATTGTTATTTATTTATAATCCTCCTACTTGTAAAAATGATTTGAAGCAGCTTAAAAAGCACAGTTATAAATTCCTCAAACCACTAAAAGAAAAATAAAAGTAAGAACTAAGTATTAATAGAGATCAAGGTGGGGGAAAATAATTATATCAGAAACAAACAGCTAAGGAAAGTTATGGTAGCTCTGAACTTCTTAATGGTCAAGACAGAAAATTTTGATAACAAACTATTTTTCTTGGCCTCCAAATAATCTTAAGAGCAATTTTAGTCATTTTTGAGATGAACATAAGTAATTTAACAATCGCATTAAAGGAAATTGTGAGAAATGATTGAAGAAAACCTTATCCCACCACTCTAAGATAACCATTAACTTTTACTTTATTTGTTATTTTATTATTTTGGAGACGGCATGTTGCTTTGTTGCCCAGGCTGGGGTGCAGTGGTGCCATCTCGGCTCACTGCAGTCTCAAATTCTCTGGCTCAAGGGAATCCTCCTGCCTTAGTCTCCCAAGTAGCTGGGACCTCAGGCATGTGCCACAATGCCCAGAATTTTTAAAAAGCATATATATATATATATATATATATATATATATATATATATTTTTTTTTTTTTTTTTTTTTTTTTTTTTTGGTAGAGAAGAGAGTTCGCCATGTTGCCAAGGCTGGTTTTAAATTTCTGGGCTCAAGCAATCCTCCCGCCTTGGCCTCCCAAAGTGCTGGGATTACAGGCATGAGCCACTGCACCTGGCAACTTTTAAGTATATTAACTTGCAGTCTTTGTCCCATACAAACACATTTTAACATTAGATCAATCGCACTACATTTTGTATACAACTTTTATTTTTCCATAATGGCTACATATTCTTGAAGTTTCACTGGTGACTGCCTATTAAATTGTTAGGCTATGAAATAATCAGTCATGTTGTTATAATGTCTTTTAACCATTTCGGTTTTGTCGACCTTGTTTTCATCATTCTACTATTGTGTAGAATGCTGTAATGAATGTCTCCATGTGTATATTTTTTTTTCACTTCTAAGGAATTATTTCTTCATTTAGTCAATAAATACTTATGAAGAAATTCTTTCTGTGTTTCAGTCACATGTGATGGATTGGGGACATAGAGGTCAATATTTTCAAGGTACAGAGGAAAGGTACATAATTCTGTTTGCGCACGGAGATACCAGGAAAGGCTTTGGTGAATGTGATGTTCGGACAGTCCCAAATAATTTTTTTATAAAGTGCTTGTCAAGTTTCTTTCCAGTTAGGTTTTATCAAATCACAATGTTGATGTGGTAAAAGATTTACTCCTTCCTTCCATTATCAAACCTATATCAATATTTGTGTTATCATTAAATCTAAAGATATTTTAGAATGCTTAACATTTACCTGCAAGTTGCTTTAATTTACTCAGGTTATATTTGAGGATAATATAGTACAGAAGCTATATAGAGTCTGTTCGTGATCTTCATGCTTTCAATTACATGGAATGACATGGCAGACAAAATACAGACCTTGGAGTCCCATTTAAAAGATGCCTCTGCCACTAACTAAGCTTGGGTGAGTTAATCTTGCTAAGCTACAATTTTCTCAGCGGCAAGACTAGAATAACAATCAAGACATTGCATGATTATTGAAAAAATTAAATGAGAGAATGAACAAAGCATCTGGAATATAATAGGTATTTTGGGAATATAATAGGTATTTTGGGAATAACTATGACTGCTTATTTGCATATTGGGGTTCTCTGTATAGATTTCAGGAGTTCTTTATACATATTAACCTTCTATCCTATTTAATGGAAATGACTGCTGCAACATGTTGCTCTCCTATTTTCAAATTACAGCATAATATCTTTATATTTTACTTTTTGAAACTGAGTTTCACTCTGCCACCCAGGCTGGAGGGTAGTGGCACGGTCACGGCTCACTGTATCCTTGACCTTTCCACCCAAGTGATCCTCCCACTTCCCAAGTAGCTAGGGCCACAGGCACGTGCCACCACACCCAGCTAATTTTTAAATTTCTTGTAGAGATGGGGTCTCCCTATGTTGCCCAGGCTACTTTTAGATTTTAAAAGCTCTATACATTTGTTTTTATTTTCTTTATGTTTTAAAGTTGAATCAGTTATTGTTCCTCTACAATGCTGTTAAATATTAGCATTTCTGATTGTTTTTCTACTGTAAGATAATAGAATTCTTTCAATTACCTGAGATCTATTTGGGTGTATAGAAACTTAATGTTTGACATCACAAATATCAGTTGCAATTTTATATTTTTCTACAATAAAAGCTACTGCCTCAATAAATGAGAGTTCAATGTTGCGAGTGTTTTCTTTCCGGTACCCAAGGCCACAGATTTCCCAAGTAAGACACAATAGATCTGCAGCTTGTTGAGACAGATGAAACCACACACCTGACGTTAAATCAATGAAATCATAGAGGCTGAGATAATATTTACAGAATTAGTCATGTTGACAAACAGTAAGCTCTGTTCGTTATGTATTTACTTGTCATAGACCACTAAAGGAAAAAGTTAATATTTCTTAGAACTGTCTCTATTGTAATCTGAATCTAAAACTTCAAATAAAAATTCTGGTCAATTGCAAAGCCTAACTTACACGATCTGGAAATTTAAATTGTGTTTTTTTGGACATGATTTTGAATTAATATTTATATTTAAGAGCTGAAAGATAAAGGAAGAGTAACCCAATTAAAAATTTGTGTTTTTAACAGGAGAAAACCCTTTTGCAATCTAGCCTTATTTATTTACATGGCCTCATCTCCCATAGCTTTGAACTTTATACCAGAAGTTCTGAAATTTGAAGAGATTTTTCTACCTCATATGCCTTTGAACATGACAGTCCGCTTAGGCAAGTCTTATAATGGACTTTCAATTTTTAGAGGTCTGATCAGCTTCTTATTCTTCTAGACCCAACATAAACACAAAAACTTCTCTAAAACCTTCAGGCATTAATGCCTGACTCTCTCCCTTGGTCACCTGGGGAATTATACACTTTCTCTGTTGCATGAAGCTCATTGCATGTGCCTGGGAGGAGGTATTCATTGATTTTGGAGCAAGGACTCTTAAATCAGACATGGGCTTCAGTCCTAGCTCTTCCATTTATTAGCAGTGCAACCTTGAATAAGTCAAGCAGCCTCTTTATGTCTCAGTTTTCTTACCTGTAAGACGGGGATAACGATAATATCTCATAGCATTGTGAGAAATAAATGAAATGATGCATGTTAAACATCTAGTCCAGTTTCAGACACATAATAAAGACATTGTGGATGCGGGTTACTCTTTGTTTCTATAACTATTACCCCATTAGTTAGCTATTGCTGCAGAACAGATTACCCCAAAACTTGGTGGCTTAAAACAACTAACATTTATTTTCTTAGTTTCTGTGGATCAGAAACCTGGATGCAGATTATTTGGGTGCCTGTGTGTATTAGTCTGTTCTTGCATTGCTATAAAGAAATTTCTGAGACTGGGTCATTTATAAGAAGATAGGTTTAATTGGCTCATAGTTCCATAGGCTGTACAAAAAGCCTAACACTGGCATCTACTTCTGGGGAGGCCTCTGAAAGCTTACAATCGTGGCAGAAGGCAAAGCTGGAGCTTGCACGTCACCTGGGGAAAGCAGGAGCAAGAGAGTGGGAGGGGAGGTGCCACACACTTTTAAATGACCAGATGTCATGAGAACACACTCACTATCATGAGGACAGCACCAAGGGGATGGCGTTAAATCATTCATGAGAAATCTGCCCCATGATCCAATCACATCCCACCAGGCCCCACCTCCAACACTGGGGATTACATTTCAATATGAGATTTGGGTGGGGACACACATCCAAACTCTATCACTGTGACTCAGGGTTTCTCACAAGGCTTCAACTAAGATATTCAACAGGGCTGCAGTCATCTTAGAGTTCAACTGGGGAGGATACACTTCCAAGCTCGCTCAAGTGACTGTTGGCAGGCATCAGGCCCTTGCTGCTGTTGACCGGAGACATCAGTTCCTTGCCACATGGGCCCCTCTGTAGGGCAGCTCACAACAGGGCAGCTCACAACATGGCAGCTCACTTCCCTCAGAACAAGCCAGTGGGAGAGTGAGAGGGGAGGCCAAAGCCAGAAGCCACAGATTTTTTTGCCCTCTAATGTCGGAAGTGACAGCTCATCATTTTCGACTTATTCTGTTCATTAGAAGTGAGTCACTAGGTCCAGCTCATGCTCAAAACCAGGAAATTACACAAAGGCATGAATACCAGGAGGTGGAGATCACTGTGGGGGGTAGGGGAGGTGCATTTTAGAGGCCACCTGGGAAAAATGGGGCTGTAGCTTATTTACTAATGTTTGTGTTTTTATATTTTCAATGTTTGACATAGTATCTGGCTCAACACAATCTTACCCCTATGGCTAAGATTTTCTTCGTTCTGGGAAATATGAGAGATTCCTCATTGTCAGTTGCCCACATAGCATTGATTTCATTGCTCTATTTTAAGGGAACAGCAATTACCAAGGCAAGACACCATGAAAGGTGGAAGAATGTAGCCTGCAGCCTGTCCCACCGTTTGGGACAGGTGGGATGGACTGCCGGATAGCGTGTAGGAAGAAGATTAAAACAAATGGGGGAAATTTACACACATCATTTATTTATCTAAAATGTTCTCCCTGTCATAGTCTATTCCCTCTTTAAACTGTGGAAAGAAAAGCCCTAGCATAAACTTGGTGTACCTTTTAAAAATTATTACCTGGTACTTCATTTAAAAGAAAAGGAGAAATTATAATTAACCAGTTAAGACTCACCTTTTCTGACATAGCATGTGGTTGTATACATCTGGTTGTAACCATGGTTCAAGTTGATCAACCACCTACCAGTTGGCTAAATAAATTCCTGATATGCTAGGCATCTGGGATGAACTTCCCTCAGACAAGCCTTTAGCTCATGGCTCATAAGAATGAATCTTGTTTTGTATGATGTCATTGAGTGTGGAGATATGCTGATGGAAAGATGGTGCTTAGCAACCAACTACTTATTTTCTTTAGTCTTCCTACAGGGTAACCACGAAGTCTTTCTGCAGGCCACTTAGAAAATATCTGTATGCCTCCTTCCACTCTCACAAATTCAAATTTTCCCTGTTGTTATTTTGAACATCTTCTTCCATGCTGATGCTTAGAAGTCGTTAAAGCAGCCCCTAATAGCTATTTTTAAATCTTTAACTGTTGATAAGTGAAACTGAGAATTTTTTCTTTCACAATCCTTTTTTTTTTTGTTTTGTTTTGAGACAGGGTCTTGCTCTGTTGCCCAGGCTGGAGGGCAGTGATGCAATCACAGCTCACTGCAGTCTCAATCTTCCAGGCTCAGGTGATCCTCTTGCCTCAGTCTCCTGAGTAGCTGGGACTACAGGCACACACCAACATGCCAGGTTAATTTTTGTATTTTTTGTAGAGATGGGGTTTTGCTACGTTGCCCAGGCTGGTCTTGAACTCCTGGCCTCAAACCATCCTCACGCCTCAGCCTCCCAAAGTACCAGGATTAGAGGCATGAGCCACCGTGCCTGGCCTTTTTCACAATCTTAAGCATAAGCTTGGTAGACCATAGACCCCCAGTAAGTGGAAGCTAGTGTAATAATATTATTACACTGTTTTCCTCAAAATGACCCTGCGAGGTGATTGTTTCACATCAGCTCATGCTCAGGCCCTGTTATTTCTGCATTTATGTGGACAGAGAATTCAGGAGGAATAACCAGTGGTAGACATATGAACACTCCTCACTTGGAAGGACCATCCTGTCTAGGGTGAAGACCTTTTTTGACTGTCCATGATTCTGTTTTTTTTTTCTCTTCAATACATATGCTGCCAACATTCTTCTAGACTAGCCAACTAGTTCGCAGGGCTTCTTCCCATCCGTCTTGCCCTGTAATTCGAGAGCTCATCCTATGGCCTGACTTGAGATGTAAGGCTGCCAAGACTCTTCCTTTCTCTTTGGAGTCATGGAGCACCTATTTCCACTCACCCACCCATCCATTCATTTGTTCATTCTTTTAAAGAAAATAAGATAGGGTTCCTGGGTTCAAAGAGCTTGCAGTCTAGGGGCAGGTGCGGTGGCTGACACCTGTAATTCCAGCACTTTGGGAGGCCGAGGCAGGCGGATCACTTGAGGCCAGGCATTCAAGACCAGCCTGGCCAACATGGCAAAGCCTCCTCTCTACTATTAACAAAAATACAGACATTAGCCAGGCATGGTGGTGCATGCCTGTAATCCCAGCTACTTGGGAGGCTGAGGCATGAGAATCACTTGAACCTAGGAAGCAGAGGCTGCAGTGAGCTGAGATCGCACCATTGCACTCCAGCCTGGGAGACAGAGCCAGACTCTGTCAAAAAAAAATTGTGGGTGCAATAAGATCTGAGCACACATGACCCTGACAGAGCAGCATAGCAGAGGCAGCGTGAGGGGAGCCGCTGTCCAAAGGTTTTGGAGGGAGAAGTCACTGCTGCCGCAAGTGACGAGAAAAGCCTTCTGGAATGTATGATGGGGAGGACTCTGACAGGTGGTGATGGTGAGGGGAACATTCCAGAGCATGGAGAAAGGCGCAAAGATATGCAGGAAGAAGCTGTGAATGAAGACAGCGAGGAGTCCAGTTCACCTGGAACGCAGTGTGTGGCAGAAAGAGCACTGCATGTGGGGTGTGGAGACTGGGTTTCCGTTCTGCCACCTTCCCAGTAAAAAACAAAACAGTGCCAGACTGGCACTGAACAGATGACTTAGCCTTTCTAAGTCTCAGCTTCCTCGCCTGAAAAGTGAGGTCTTCTACTCACACAGCTGTCGTGACAGTTAAATGAGACCAATGAGTGTACTGTGGCTAGATCATTTTTGAAATATTAACAGATGCCCACCTCCCTTCTCCATCTGCCCTCCACAATTTCCACTTTTCTCTTCCTACTCCTGGCCTGTTCTCCTGGCCACAGGGCAAGAATGTGGCAGAGCACAAAGGAGAGAAAAAAGGGAGTCTCTCTCTCTCTCTCTCTCTCTCTGTTTCAAAACCCCACAGCCTTAGGGAAATGGCAAGGACTCTGGAATTATTTAAATTGTTGAGAGTTTGATGAATATTAGGTTTCTCCAGATTGTCACCTGGATTGACCCCAGGAAAGATGGGGCAAGGGTGGGGGTATTGAGGCAGTGGTCCTTGACAGCAGGGCCCGCACAGCCTCCTTGACAGGTGAGCTCTAAAACTCACCTTCTCTAAAGGACATGTGCCTGGACCCCCACCCCTGGAGGTCACACAGCTTTAGAAAGGAAATGGCTCTGCAGTGAGCCTTGGCAAACAAGGCCATAGAGAGCCTCACTGAGAATCCCACACTCTACCCTAGCCAGAAAACCACAGAATGATTCCCCTCCTCCAAAGGGTGGCACCGGAAGTGGCCAAGTGAGCTGGAGGATCCATGCCTGAGGGCCCACAGATGACTCGGCAAAGACAGACGCATGGAGAACCAGGCACATCCCAGACTCCACACCAGCTTGACATTGTTGAATCCTCAAATCTTCCATTGCAACCCTTGAGAAAAAGGATTCAGACTGAACGAATAATCAAATTTCTGCGGCTTCCAAGAAATAGGAACTCTAAGTAGAAATGAAGTTGTTAATAAGAAAAAATACTCAAGGAAACATCTTTCTTGCACGTCAGACTTGTGAACCGAGATGTATATCCACTATGGTACTTTAAAAAGTTAAAACTTAACATTTAAAAACTTAACATTGACGTGCAATGTGATGAACTAAAATCAAAACAAAGCTGGAAAGCTAGGGCAGATGGGGTGTGCACTGCCCTGGAATAGCAACCTACAAGGGCTCTGAAATGGAGCCTGGCTCTTAGGATACTTCAATTCCCTATTATCAGCCTCAGAACAGTAAAACTGCGGCACAGCTGTTCTGCCTGTAAAGGGCAGCTATGTAGGGCAGTTTTCCCAGAAGCTTTCTGTGCTCCCAGATCAGCTCCATAAAAAAGTAAGTGTTCTAAATATCAGGCACGTCAATACTGACAACCACAGCAAATTTAACGCCAAACGTTTTTATCATTGCAGCAGATGGTAGCCTGTTTGTGAAATGGCACTTCACAGAGCAAGGGTGCCCTGCCACACTTGAAATAGCAGGGACCACTTATCATCCTGAAAATCAGAGGAAGCATCAAGTTCTCAGAAAACCTTCGGGGCAACTTAACTGTTTCTTAGCAGCAGCTGCCTGGGTGAAGACATCATTCCATATCTGGTGCTATCCTCCCTTCCTTAGCTGAGCGTTGTTCGTTGATTCAATTAATTAATATTTATTGAACACACTCTCTGGGCTGAACACCATGATAGGAGCTGGGGATACAGCCAGGAACTTAAATAATTATTCCAGGAACTTAAATAACTATTATAATATGTTAGTAACAATAAACCTATAAGGTAAGAAATTATTTGTCTCCTCATTTTACAGATAAAGGAATTGAGATTTAATAGAAGGTCAGACCAGCTCGGATGGGCAGACCAGAATTCAGATTATGCTGGATCTAAAGTGCATGCTCCTAACCACCACATTCCAAGGTCCAGTGAGGAGGATGAGCAGGTTGGGGTTCTGAGACAGAGTGAGGGAAACTATGATTAGGTGCCAAGTGAGAAGTTGAGAGGGCCCTTATCTGCCACAGAGGGGCAAGGCAGCTTCCTAGAGGAAGCCACATTGAACAGAAGGATCATCAAACTAAGTGTGTGAGTCAGAGGATTTGTTCTGGGTCTTGGGTCATGGAAGTTAGTCTACTCTCTTTATGAAATCTATACTCAGTGCCTATGTTTTTCTCATATTTTTCTTCTGTGGAGCAAGAATCGTTGCTTTTTATTGAGGGTGATTTTTTTTTTAATACCTGTCTTCTTACCCTGCAAATATAAAGATAGAACATTCTTGTTCACCGACTGTGGATACTGCCTCGGGGTAAGGTGGTGGGTGGGGCCAACACGGTCAGGGCCAGCGGTCATGCAGGCAGCACTGTGGCCCCTGTCCAGCCCCTAGTTAGTGCTATAACCTCTGGCCCTAGAACGAGGCTCTGAGCAGGCATCTGCAGCCTCTGAAAGTGCCATGAGATGTGTCTGTGTGAGGCCACCCTGCCTCACCCATGGCCAGCATGTGACCTCACTAAGAGTCGGTGGGGACTGGAGCCACAGCGAAGGAGGCAGCGTGCTGGAGAAGACAGTGCGAGGCAGCAAATGACCATTATTACTGATTTGCCTCCGACAAGAAAGAAAAGGACAGCCTCTGTTTAGAAGTAAAATTAGACACGGAGAACCAACGCACTCTCCTATTCTCAGCTCTTGAAAGTGCCCAGAAGCTCCTTTCAGCACTACTACTGCTACCTACCGTCTTGTCTTCTGTAATTAAATCTGGTTTTCCCACAGGCGTTAGGATTAAAGATAACTAAGAACAGTTATTTAATTATGCTTTCAACATTGTTTAGTTACAATGTCTCAATATGTTCCAGAAATTACTATATGTGTTTATTTTTAAAGTATATTTATAAAGTATAGTTTTAAATATACAGTACCTCTGCTATTTTGAAGACAATATATTGTACAATATCATTTTCTCTTTTTGATTGCAAATATGTAGTATTTCACCTAACAGGGACTGAATGCATTTGGAAAGAAGATAGTTTGGGAATCTCACCATTTGTAATGTTTCTTCGGAAAGTATTAGAGATGAAAGTATTGTATCTAGTCTTAAATCAAATTTTAGTAACACATCAATTAAGGAGAGAATGGCATGCATGTGTAAAGGCAGTTGTGATTTTCCATCAGTCTGTTTTTTGGGGTATATTCGAACTGTAATTCAGTCATATGCACCAAACTGGTAGATGTTTTCTTCTCTGTAGCTACTGATGAAAGGAGTCCCTCTTGTACTCTAGAAGCTCACAGAGTTGTTTAATACTCAGGGAGAAATGGGGCCACCCTCTGGGCCCTTGCGGCTTGCTTATGATGTTTTAAAGAGCCCTGTCTGGAACAAAACAGGCAACATTTGTGTAATTGTAAACAGATCCTTAGATCCTTTATAGCTGAGATAATCTGTACAAGGAAAGAGGCTCTCTTTATTCTTTTAATGGAATCAGGATCTTGTTCACTTACTCTCTGTCTGTCGGGGCTGTGGAGTGTGCATCCGTGTGTCCTGCTGAGCAAATGCTCATAAAGCAATACCCCACGCATTAGAAAACCTTTGCTACCCAGAGGCAGGGCACAGGGAGCGCAGAACTGAAATCTGTTATTGATGTCTGTACAGGTGGGTTAGACAGAGCACCCTGAGGGATGTCCAGGTGTGGGAGAGAGGACTTTGAAGTGGGCTTTGGGAAGGCAGGTTCCTGACCTTCTGCCATTTACAAATTTCATGGGCTTGGTCTAGTCCCATAACTTTTCAGGAGCAGGTTTCCTGGTCTATAAAACACATTGGAGCAGGGTTTTTATACCGAGGTGAGTGTAGTGTCAAGTTTAGTGACTATGAACAGAGACCTGGATCCAGCTTGTGTAAGCTCAAGTCTGGCAGTGTTATTTCACAGCTTTGTGACCTTCAGCAAATCACTTAGCCCAGCACTGCAGTTTTGATTGAATAGATTTAAAACCTATCTCATAGATTGTTGTGAGGACTAAATGAGTTAATATTTAGAGCCTGACATCCAATAAATGCTACACAAAGAAGCGTTCCTGTTGGTGGGAGTGTGAATTAGTTCAACCACTGTGGAAGACAATGTGGCAATTCCTCAAAGACCCGGAGGCAGAAATACCATTTGACCCAGCAATCCCATTACTAGGTATGTGCCCAAAGGAATATAAATTATTATTTTACGAAACTTATTCATTATGCATGTGTATGTTCATTGCAGCATTATTCACAATAGCAAAGACATGGAGTCAACCTAAATGCCCATCAATGGTAGACTGGATAAAGAAAATGTGGTACTTATACACTGTGGAATACCATGCAGGCATAAAAAGGAACGAGATCATGTCCTTTGCAGGGACATGGATGAAGCTAAGGCCACTATCCTCAGCAAACTAACGCAGGAATAGAAAACCAGATGTTGCATGTTCTCATTTATAAGTGAAAGCTGAATGATGAGAACACATGGACACATGGTGGGGAAAACACCCACTGGGGCCTGTCAGAGGGTGGACTTTGGGGAGGAGGGAGAGCATCAAAAAGAATAGCTAATGGATGCTGGGCTTAATACCTAGGTGATGGGATGATTTGTGCTGCAAACCACCATGGCACACATTTAACTATGTAACAAACTGGCACATCCTCCACATGTACCTCTGAACTTAAAATAAAAAATAATAAAAAAGAGAAGTGTTGGCCAGGCGCGGTGGCTCACTCCTGTAATCCCAGCACTTTGGGAGACCAAGGCGGGCAGATCACGAGGTCAGGAGATGGAGACCATCCTGGCTAACACAGTGAAACCCCATCTCTACTAAAAATACAAAAAATTAGCCAGGCATGGTGGCACTTGCCTGTAGTCCCAGCTACTCGGGAGGCTGAGGCAGGAGAATGGCCTGAACCCAGGAGGCGGAGCTTGCAGTGAGCTGAGATCGCGCCACTGCTCTCCAGCCCGGGCGACAGAGCGAGACTCCGTCTCAAGAAAAAAAAGAGAAGTGTTCCCTATCGTCACTACTTTTGCACTTTCTGAAACCCAGTTCTGCAAAGACATAATTGGAATATCATTTTAAAGTGTGTTGATTATTAAAAATAACAAGCAAAGATATGCTACATGTCAACATGCAACACACTGACAACTTTTCAATTTGTGCTACCTGTTTAACTTTGCTTTGTATAGACATGGGACAAAGTTTCTTCTGCCACATTTTCTTGCAAATGTATTAATATTGATTAAGAGTGCTGGTGTTTCTTACAATTCAGGCCTACACATGTATCCCCAGTGCAGAATTGTACAGGACACTACACTATTGTAGAACAGATGTGAGAGCCTTAATTAAACGGCAAGAAAGCCAGACAGGCTCAGGTGCTTTAATATCTGATGTTGGGAGAGTTGAGCAATAAAAAGTGGGCCACTAGCATGTCACATACCACATACACATATGTATGTCATATAATAGAGAGTTTTTATGCCCTTCATAAATTTTGATGCTTCTTATATGACTTTTGCATTTGTCATAAAGAATATGTTAGATATGGTTAGTGATTTGACGTGAAAACAGCCTGCTTTTTTTTTTTTTTTTTTTTTTTGAGATGGAGTCTCACTCTGTCACCAGGCTGGAGTGCAGTGGCATGATCTCGGCTCACTGCAACCTCTGCCTCCCGCTTCAAGCGATTCTCCTGCCTCAGCCTCCTGAGTAGCTGGGACTACAGGCACACGCCACCACGCCTGGCTAATTTTTGTATTTTTAGTAGAGACGGGATTTTACCATGTTGGCCAGGATGGTCTCAATCTCCTGACCTCGTGATTCGCCTGCCTTGGCCTCCCAAAGTGCTGAGATTACAGGCGTGAGCCACCGTGCCCAGCCTGCTTTTCCTCTTATAAGCCTCTTGGTTGGTCTAATTAGAAAGAATTCTGAGCTTATAAAGGGGACTGCTAAAATATCAGCAACAAGCTATCATTCATGACTACTTCATGTGAATCAATTTCCCCAGTACTATGAAACCAAAATGAGTTAAAAAACTAGCTGGATGCTGAGGCTTATATAAGAATGCTACCCTCATTCTCAATATCATTCTTTTTTGTGGTTATTAAAACGGCCTTATTTTTTCATTGATTGAGTTAATAATAAATGAGTATTATGAATTTGTATTTACAAAATATAATTACACTGACAAAACAGAGCTTTTGTGTAGTCTGTAACTGGGTGACTGACCTACCTGTTTTACCAGGGACTGTCCCAATTCTTGCCTTAAAGTCCTTAATTCTAAAACCCCTCTGTTGTTCTGGTCAAACTGGGATGTCCAGTCACCCTGTCTATATATTAGAGCGCTGTGTAGGATTTAGTTTGAAAAAAGGATTTTGCGGCTAACATTGTCTTAAAAGCACTGAGATAGATGGTCTGTGTGGTGAGCAAATAATTTGTTGTTCAAACCAGGACACCCTGGAGAGTGAAGGGGCATGAACCAGGTGAGAAGCACACATGCTATCTCTAAGTTTCCTCCCTATTCTGAAAGGCTAGTACACTCTTTGATTGCAAGGTAAGTAAAAACCTTTTAGTAGAAATCATTCTGGATATTTCACACCACTTTATGCTACAGGATCACTGATCTGAGCATAAATTCACATTTTTAACTTGATAATAAATATAGAAGATAAACAAGATGAGTCAGAAAAGAATACTTGCGAATACCTGGTTAGACCTGGGAACTGGTTGGTTAAAAAGATGAATCCCTAATGTCAAATGACTTTCTTGTGATTCACTTCATTTCTCGTGGAAGCTAAATGAAAAGCAAAAATGTTAATTGATGGTTGTGGTAAGTCAGGCTCCAGTTGACTAAGGTTTTCTTTTGTCTAAACCCATCTCCAGGGTGAATAAATAGAACTACTCCGTGAAAGAACAAAATTGATGTGGTCTGTTACCTCTGGATCATCTCAAGGAACAATACTTTCAAAGCCTAGCAACTTGCAAACTTCCTGTCTGAGAAGGATTGGTGGTAGGGGGATGCTTGGGAACATAACACCCCTGCCCCACACACCCCACACCAGCTGCTTAGAAGGCAGGAAGCAGGATCCAGGCCTCCAGGAAATGTGCTTTATGGGATCTTGTCCACACATATTTGGGTCTTCAGCAACCTGTCCTAACCTGCTTTATTTTAGTGACTGTTACTAACTTTTTAAGCTCTGAATCAGCAAACTCTCTCCCCCACTTTTTTTTTCCCCTGAGGACATTCAAAGATCATCCAGCCCACTTTAGTTAAAGTAGAAATAGTGGCATGGTGGCTGTGGGTCTGGTGGTGTCACTTCAAAGCAAATGAGATACCCTTGATGATTCTGGCAAGGTGTGGTCTCCCACTGTCGGTCTCTCCCCCATATATGATGAAGGTACTTTTTAGGTGGTAAAGGAATGTCCTTGCCCAGTGGTAGTTAGGTGTAAATACTCTACATTTTATATTTTTTCTTTTCATGTTGAATATCAAACGTGGTATAAATGATGAAACCGATCACTGCATTATTCCCAGGCCTTTTACTTAGTGTGTCTCTGCTGTTAGCATTTGCATGGATCTGTGTCATCATTCTGATTCATCCTGCTGAATAATCTATCATTTCTGCTCCCTTTTCCCCATCCTCCAACATCCTACTCAGGGCTGTTTCAGGTGATTCTGAGACCCATTGTATCTTCTACAGATGAAGCACTTTCCTGAAATTCCTGGATATAGTCTTCTGATCAGTGGATTTAAGCAATGTACATGAAGTTTATATGCGGATTTAAGTCTATGGATTTAAATGATGGAGAGCATCCTTTTTTTTTTAATGGCTAGTAATTGGGCTATTAGTAGGACCATGATGAAAACAGGGAGGGGGCTTGTTTTAAATAGTTGCATGTAAACACACACTAGAACTTTCATGTTACTTAAGGTCACATTGCTGGCTGAACAGATCACAGATACTAAAAACCACTCCTGTTTACTGAGTGACCATGTTCTACACAATTTATATTTATAACTCATTTTATCCTCAGAGCCACTCTATGAGGTAGGTATATTTATTGCTCCCACAGAATTTAGGGACCTTATACAAGTTCTCCCAACTGGCCAGTTGTAGAGCTACCACAGTGAACTCCTCTAGTTTACTTGAGGCTGGAGAGGGCTCTCAAAATATGAAACTTCCAGAGTTAAGACTGGCTAAGTCCTTGGCGAACTGGGATGAGTTGGTCTCTTTCTAGGTAGGACCAGGCTCTGAATCCAGGAAGTCAGGCTTCAGAGGGTACACTGCTAATGATCATGTTATATTGCCTGTCATGGATGACTTCAACAGTAAGTCACAGTTTGCAATGGGCATGCCTCAGCTTTTTCCCAAAGTAAATATTCAAGAGCTTGAATAAGCCATTAATATTAGGGTAGGCTTGGGAGCATCCTCATTGACAGGGCTTCCCTGCTTCCCTTTTTAGTTGTATAAGCCTGAGCATGTAAAGTGTTCTTATGTAAGTCAACTCAAAATTATTATTTCCCCCTTCAGGTTGTAATTTCTTGAATCCCTTCTCTTGTTTTTCCTACTTGCAAACCCCAATTTCTGAAGCTTAGTGTTTCCAAGCACCACTTTATCCCCATCTAAGGAGAGAGCTTTTATAAAGTTGCTCTGTGCCATAGAACTCTGCTGTATCAGGTGGAGCATTCTGGCTATCTGTGACTTTAATCTTCTGGTTTACATGATTAAGAGTACAGAAAATTTACAGGTTTTCTTTTAAATCCCTAAAAGAGAGGGCCAACAGGCTTTCTTTCTTCTCTAAGAGCAGAAAGAAATTCTGAGCTCTGAATTGGAGCTAATGATTTTCCCAAGGAGGACTCTCGTACAGTCTCCTTAAAGACCCAAACTTTACTTGAATATCTCCCATGATGGGGTTCTTGGGAGCCCACAAGGCAACCCTTTACTTGCAGAAAGGAGTAATCATGACAAAGTTCTTCCTTAGATTGTATTGTGCTAAGATTTGTCCCTCTGCACCGTCATCAATTCACTCTCCTACTTTCTGAAGCAAACTTCTCTTTCAGATATATGAAGGCCGCTTACATGTTCCCCTTTAACTTTTTCTTCTCTAGACTAAAGATCCTAGTTCCTTTACTTGTTCCTCTACATCAGTGGTTTTCACATTTTTTTTAAAAAATTAAATCTTAGGTTGAAATGATAGGATGAAACCAGTGTTTAACTAGTGTAAAATATTTCCTTACTATAAAGTCAGTTAAGGATAGTCATGGGACTATACATTAAGAACAAAAACACTGACACAAAGCTTGTAGATAATTACTGCAAATTTGCATCAACATCCGGTTATTGTTTGTATTGAGGAAATCTTGAGATGCAAATAGTGTCAGTTTTTTTAAAGCAGCTTCCCTTGCAACCTTAAGGTTGTCTTTAATTAAACTGATATAAACATTTGAAAGAGGATTACTAGGACATTTTTGTTTGAAAATTTAACTGCTAATAATACGTATCAACTGCTTACTTTTCTTATGCTACATACATAAATCACACAGGGAGCTTACATTATGTGCCAAAGCTGTCTTTAACATGATGTCACCATGACTCAGCATGTCATGGTAGTCTCTTCTTTTTATATAATTGATTATTATATGTAAGGGCATGCACTGAACACACACACCAGAGCCTTATTTGAGATTTATTTGTGTGTGGCATACATCTCCTCAACAATCTGCACAGAAAGAGCATGCCCATAACTTTATGTAATAAGCAAATATACATGCAGGACTGCATTTACATGTGGGTGTTTATAATTCTAAGTTATTTTTATTCTCTCCTTTGCTACTTTCTACATTTTCAGAATGTTTCTTAATAAGCATATTACATATTAACTTTACTCCCAGAAATTATATATTTTTAGTTTTAATTATCAGTATATGCATGTCTTAATACTCTAACGATAAAAAAAAATTGTCGCTGGGTGTCGTGGCTCATGCTTGTAATTCCAGCACTTTGGGAGGCTGAGGCAGGCAGATCACTTGAGGTCAGGAGTTCAAGATCAGCCTGGCCAACATAGTGAAACCCCATCTCTACTAAAATACAAAAATTGGCCGAGCATGGTGGCATGCACCTGTAATCCCAGCTACTAGGGAGGCTGAGGCAGGAGACTCACTTGAACCCGAGAGGCGGAGGTTGCAATGAGCCGAGGTTGTGCCACTGCACTCCAGCCTGGGCGACAGAGTGAGACTCTGTCTCAAAACAAAAACAAAATTGTCAAACAAGAAATTACAGAGAAAATCACTAATATCACTTATAGGCAAGGTTATGGGAATGTTTCTTCCTACTGCTTTTCCAGGTTTTCTTATAAAGATATGTAATTTATTTTGATAATCCATTAATCTTTATTTAATGGGATAAAGTTAAAGAATTACTACCAAACATAGACATTTTAGGCAGGATGCTATTTTTAAAAATACTATTGCAAAACTGCAGTAGTTCTGATGATATTTTCAGATAATTAAAATATACACACAGTGATATTAGGAGAAGCATTGTTCTGAGATCTACACAATGATGGTATAACAGGGCAGTGCAAGTTAGTGAAATGAAAGCCTGCAATGGACTGAATTTTGATATCCAATATATTTGAATGTTTACATATATTTTTAAAACATTTAAAATATAGCCTAGAGTAAAATTTAAATTAAGGCATTTGCAGAACTCCAAAATATCACTATGTAACCTAATTTGAAAACCTACAATCTATTAATATAGTATAAAATATCTATTGTGCAGATTTTGTTCAACATCTGCAGAACAAATAACCTTAATTGTGTTTTGTACCTCTTGGCATAATTTTAGGTTATGGAGCATGTTGATTTGCTAGGGCTGCCGTAACAAAGTACCTTAGTCTGAGGGGCTTATGCCATAGCAGTTGATTGTCTCAGAATGTTGGAGGTGAGAAGTCGGAGATCAAGGTATCGTCAGGGCTGGTTTCATCTGAGGCTGCTCTCCTTGGCTTGTAGATGGTTGTCTTCTTCCTTTGTCTTCATGTGGTCTTCCCTCTGTACATGTGGCTGTGTCAAGACTTCCTCTTCATGTAAGAGCACCAGTCATATTGAATTAGGGCCCATCTTAATGACCTCATTTTAAATTAATTACCTCTTTAAGACCCTATTTCCAAATGTGGTCTTATTATGAAGTACGCTGGGTTAGGACTTTAATATATGAATTTTGGAAGAAGACAATTCATCTCATAACATGGAATTTCATAATTTTCTATATCCTTGTTAAAGAAACATCTTTCTTTTATAGAAAGAAATATCTCAATCTTTAGTTAGTTATGTATTTATGTGTAGACACATTTATAGAAATAAATGTAAATGTATTTATGTGTCACATATTCTGCACTCATATTAAATTGTTAAATATCTTCAAAGAATCATTTGACATTTTAAGAAAAAAAACTGTTTTGGGGGGTTCTGGAATGACTTCACCTTTGGCTATTTGCAATTATCACATGGACTTGTGTAAACCATACAGTATCAAGTTAAAAGAAAATAAGATCAATGGTTAGAAAAATCAGAACAGATGCTCATTAGATTCATCGAAGTCAGAATTAACTCCACCTTTCAAATTTTGTGGGAATTGTGTTTAACATCTGCAGAACAAAGCAAATATATTTAATTCACCACAGCCTCTAGTTTATAGTTCAAATTTGGCCTCTCTGATCTATTATATTTGTGCTAAAAAGCTAAGGAAGTAAGTTATAAAAACAGAGAAACTAGAAATATTAATTTTTCTAGTCCAAGATAATCATCCTCCTTAGGTTACATTTTGTTTAACTCAGGGAAGTTTTTGGTTTTAAAGTGGAATACTGTTCATTCTCAACTTACAAACCATCTGTGTTCCAAAAATTCATTTGGAAGTCAGTTATTAGGCTCTCTCAAGAAATTTTCCCATAGAAATCATGTTATTTATAATGATCACACTCCTAGGCCAGCACATAAAACCCAGTTTAACTCCCACCACACAAAACACAGTATTGATAATATAGTGCTATGAAACCTCCTTACCGAATAAAACACTGCCTTTCTGGAAATAAGAAATAACGCATGAGAATAATATATATTTTAAAATCTATCAGTGTGCTTTTCTTGTTTGTATTTCTCTCTGTTTTGCCAGAGACGTCCATTTATATTAGGGAGGTTTGGGATTATTACCACAAGAATGCGGAGTCTATATCCAGCGTTTGACAAGTGGAACAGAATTTTTGAGACCGCAGCAAGACAATAGTCTTGAAATCTAGAATTTATCTACAGAGGAAATGTTTTCAAATTTCCTAAACATCCATGATGTAGCTACATATCTACATAGAGGTTGACTTTTAAGGTACTATAAGCCAGGACTGGATAGCGCTCAAGAGCCTCATGGAAGAGGCCACAGGAAAGTGGATGGGAGCCTCCCCATTCAGCCCTGATGGGTGTGGAGGGAAGGAGAGACAACTTGGAAAAGCAAGCCTTGAATGTTAACGATCAAGGATGCATTTAGAGAGATTCAAGGAAAGGTCAAAATAAGAGAAGCTGCTTCATTTCACTGTGCATTTTGAACTCTGGCATGGAGACATTCACATGCAGAGGGAGCTTGCTGCAAGGAGATACAGCCTTGCTGCTCATTGATCAGGCCCACTTAGCAGGGTACAGACCGCAGGCTCGGCAGCCGTCGTCCCTCAGTGGACTCCAGTGTGACTGTTTCAGGGACTTGACCAGACGTTCTGCAATGGGCAGCAGTTAAAACCAACAGGCTAAACACACATCCAAGACTCCTAAAAGGCAAAAGTTACGGTCAGTGGACAAATGTGTGCTCTTCATTTCTCTTCATTTCAGTCTACCTCCAGCAGTGTGGGAGCGAGCTCATTTAAAGTATTAGATTAGTTATATGAAATAGAAGGGCTTTATTTTCTTTGTAAATCATTGTACACTTCCTAAATCAAGAAATCTTTTTATCGTTTTGAAAGCACCAACTATGTGCACCTATTAAATGTTTAACCTCAGTTAGTCTTTAAGAGTCCTGTGAGATAAGCATTACACCTTTATCACTGAGGAAATTGAAACAATTGTGCCCAAAGTTACATCGTTTCTGAAAGAAAGAGCTGGGATTTGAATCAACATTAGCCATGCTGTGAAACTCAGGCTCTGGGCTGAGCGCAATGGCTCACGCCTGTAATCCTAGCACTTTGGGAGGCCGAGGTGGGCAGATCACTTGAGGTCAGGAGTTTGAGACCAGCCTGGCCAACATGGCAAAACCCCGTCTCTACTAAAAATTCAGAAATTAGCTGGGTGTGGTGGCACGTGCCTGTAATCCCAGCTACTTGGAGGCTGAGGCAGGAGAATCCCTTGAGCCCGAGAGGTGGAGGTTGCAGTGAGCCAAGATCAGGCCACTGCACTTCGATTATAGTTTGGAGTATCTGGAGCCTATGTCCCCTTTATCTCATTCTCTTCTGGACTGAGGAAACAGGTTGGCCCCAAGTGGTGGCTCTCAGGGTCTGGGGCTGGGAGCAGATGAAGGTCATCCCTAAGGTTGAATGAAGCCTTAGGGGCCAAGGCCTCTGGCCAGTCTAATTTACCAATGATGTTTTTCAGTTTTAGGCTGCTTCGTAGATCCAGTAATTATTTCTTCAGGAATTCACTTATCTACTTATCAGCACCTAACAAGGGCTGCTCTCTTCTGTTATTCCCTACATTCCTGAAATCTTTTTCCTTAGTTCCACTTTTTCAATGTGACAGCTTTATAAATGGTATAAAATGACACATCATAATTTGATGCATCTTCCTGGAGATTCAATTTTACTCAATGATAATTGAATCATTTTTCATATTCAAATAAGGCACATATATAATAAGAAGGCAAAAATCAAACCTGATGTGAAATGTTAAGGTCTCATACAAGACTGCTAGTGAGAGCTGCTTTGGGCCATACCCCTAGACTTCTGGGGTGGGCGCTTAATTAACTCTGCTGTTTATGGTAGCGTATTTTGTTGGAACACTTACAGAACCAGAGTGCTAAAGTAAGTATTGAGGGGCTTTTCTGCTAAGAATAGTAGATAAGCCAGACTTTCCCCCAGAAAAGTAACTAGAGCAGGGATTTACCCCAGGAAACTAAAATATAGAGGGATGGTGGGAAAAAAATTGAACAACAATTTTAAGAGCTTAGCACTTAGTCACCAAGAATAATTAGCTAAAATAGGAAGCTACCAGATGGCTTAGCCTTGTTATTGAAACCCATCTGTGAGCCACATTGTGAATTGGGGAGCTTATTTGATGATTTGTCCTCATGTCAGCTGCCCTGTTTCAGCTCCAGAATTGCCAGTGAAGACTTTGCTCCTCGGTCCCTCTGGGTAGCAGATGCCATGCTTTCTCTCCCTCTACCATCCTCTCAACCTGGTTTGCTTTCGAAAAGGTTTGTAAACTTTGTTTAGCTTCTCTCTACAAACCTTTGTTTGACTTTGTATATACAAAGGAAGAAAGACATTCACCTACCACATACGTGATAACTTTTCTTGATTATTTCTGGATGGAAGTGGAAAATGATCTGGGGAAGGTAGAGCTGAGGGAAGGGAATAGGTAAAATGGAAGTGCTGGTGATACTATTTTAGCAAGTAGGGATGGTGGGAGGGTAACAAGAAAAAGGTGGCATTGTATGGATTTACTTGCTCTTTCCACTCCATTCCCTTTGGCTTGGTAGCCATTCTGTCACCTCAGGATGGAAATGAATGGTCAATAGATGGTCTCTCAGGTTGGCAGCAATATTGGGACCGTTGTGTGAAGTGACACATGGTAGGATTGCTTGTGACTATAAACACGACTGAGTTCTCCTTTAACTCTTATAGGGCCTTGTTTTAGTCTGTTTTCTGCTGTATAACAGAATACCACAGACTGTTGTTTATAAAG
Organism: Homo sapiens; assembly: GCF_000001405.40. Classification (NCBI taxonomy): domain Eukaryota; kingdom Metazoa; phylum Chordata; class Mammalia; order Primates; family Hominidae; genus Homo; species Homo sapiens. The sequence goes on along the minus strand of NW_003315938.1, from coordinate 75,754 downwards.
AACAGAAGTTAATTTGGCTCACAGTTCTGGAGGCTAGAAGGCCTCAGAGCACAGCACCAGCGTCTGGTGGGGGTCCTCCCATGGCTGAAGGCAGGAAACAGATGCAAGTGTGAGGGTAGAACTTACTGTTGTATCAGGAGTTCACTCCCACAGTAACTAATCCATTCCCACGATAATGATCTTAATCCATTTATAAGGGCAAAGTCGTCATGAGCAAATCACCTCTTAAAAGTCCAACTTGTGAAGACTGTTGCATTGCGGATTAAAATGTCAACACATGTACTTTTTGGGGGGTACATTCAAACAGTAGCAGGCCTGAAACTTGAATGTGAAGATTAAAATGATTTCACAGTAGCATGTCTTCCAATATGCATATAATGTCTGTTGCTGATTAACATATGAAAGTCAAAACACCCCAAACTATTCAAGAGACACTTTATTTAATAGCTCTTAATTATTCCCAGAGCTAGGTGTCACACTGGTGTTTAGTACATATATGTTTCTGTCTTAAGAGTTCTCCTTTTCTTCCCCTGACACCAAGAATGTCAGAAAATCATGAAACCTATCACTCCATGGGTTCTATAATGACTAGATAAAATGAAAACACATATAAAGTACTTTGCAGAGTCCCTGGCACATGGTGAGAGCTCAGTGAATCTTATTTGGCACTGGAGTAAATGCTCAATGAACCATAATTATTGTTTTTCTAATTATGTGGTCATTAAAATATTCCTATGTTCATCAAATACCTGGAATTCTTAGATATCACCAAGTGTTGAAATAATGACAAAATTTTTTTTCTAGTCCTTGCAAATTCTCTGCCCCTTTTTATACAACATATGCTTCTAGATGCTTTGGCTACAAATCAGTGTTATATTAAAGGTATAACTACTTAATGAACCCAACAATGTGAGAGGTGCAATGTAAAGTCATGTAGTGCCCTATAAATTAATCAAGTCAATTTCTGCAAGACTTCATCTTAAAGATTTCATAATAGAAAAGAAAGACATGAATTCCAAAGGGGAGAAAAACAAAAGCTCAAAAGTGGCTGTTAATTTATTATTGTCAGTAGAATAAAGTTGGAAGTTGTGACTGAGTTGTCAGACAAAGCCATACATAATATACAGCTGAAATCATAATTTCAGCTGTATATTATTTTACTACCCATAGGACCTATGGGTAGGACCATGCTGTTTGGTTACTGTAGCCCTGTAGTATAGTTTGCAGTCAGGTAACATGATGCCTCCATCTTTGTTCTTTTTGCTTAGCATTGCCTTGGCTATTGAAGCCCTTTTTTGTTTCCATGACATGACATGACAGGATAAAAATGAAACGGGAATACAGAACTGAGTCCGGTTCAAAGCATTTTGGAGTTGGAAGCCAATCAAGTGCCCAGGACCATGAAGTGACCAGTCTGGGTAAGATTTTCAGGCTTCTATGAGATAAACAGAGATGAAGACCATTTTGGGTATGAGACTAGGAGGGACATGAAACCAATACTTCTTTTAAGTTATGGGGTTCCTGTTATAGACTATATATTGAGTTCAATGTGTTTCCCCAGAGTAGTTAACACAAATTCAGGCAGTATCCCAGGCTGAAGCTCTGGTGGAGGAATAACTTCAGTTAGCCAAGAAAGTTTTCCGGTGGGTAGACTTAGCACTAATTACAGATGTTTAAGAAAATCAAACATATAGCATTAATACTTTTATAATAAAGAATCTGATATATCTATTATTTTATTTCATAATGTTTAAGAACACTTTTACTTATTGTCATAGATCAACCTTATCATTCCAATTTGAAATGTGTAATTGCATAAGTAATTTAGACTTGTGCTTTTAACTTAAATCTTAGCAAGCTTATTAAGTATTGGACGAGTTTAAAAAGCATAAAGTACATTGTATTTATAGGTTTAATTTACCAGAATAATAATGTCTTAAAAGTACTTAGAAAAATTGTTGTCAAAATAGTAGTACTTAAAAAATACTAGTTCTTAAAAAAATAAACAAGTACTGTATTTAAATAAGAAAGGAATACTGTATTAATGCAGTTAAAATGATTTGTGTTTAAAAAGTTTATAAATAGAACAAAATATTATTCTAAACAATTTTCAAAGAAATTATTATAAAAAATTTTGCTTGTAAATAAAATAAGATTTTAAAGGTGAACTCAAAAGCCTAAGGTTTTTAAATTTGTAACTTCAATGAATTGAAAGTTATTTCTTTTTAACTTATGTAAACTTATAAGTAAACTTTTCTGCCCAGCAAAACACTTGAGGGCTCAAAAAAAGTCACGTTAACATAATTATGTATATTGGAAAGCAGGACAATTGTTTTTGCTGGAATGGAGAAGATATTTAGGTAAAACACACACACACACACACACACACACACACACACACACACACAAGAACTACGACATCAGGACAGCTAAATGGTAGCTTCAGACCAAGCAGCTTCTCACACAGGTATAAGAGAACATATTGTGGCTAATCCCCTCATATACTAAACAAATTTAAACAACAAATTGTACTTTATTTATTTATTTTTAAAAATTTTACTTTAAGTTCTGGGGTACATGTGCTGAATGTGCAGGTTTGTTACATAGGTATACATGTGCCATGGTGGTTTGGTGCACCTATCAACTTGTCATCTAGGTTTTAAGCCCTGCAAGCATTAGGTATTTGTCTTAATGCTCTCCCTCCCCTTCCCCCCACCCGTCGACAGGCCCCGGTGTGTGATGTTCCCCTCCCTGTGTCCATGTGTTCTCATTGTTCAATTCCCACTTATAAGTGAGAACATGCGGTGTTTGGTTTTCTGTTCCTATGTTAGTTTGCTGAGGATGATGGTTTCCAGCTTTATCTATGTCCCTGCAAAAGACATGATCTCATTCTTTTTTATGGCTGCATAGTATTCCATGGTGTATATGTGCCACATTCTCTTTATCCAGTCTATCATTGATGGGCATTTGGGTTGGTTCCAAGTCTTTGCTATTGTAAGTAGTGCTACAATAAACATACATGTCCATGTGTCTTTATTGTAGAATGATTTATAATATTTTGGGTATATACCCAGTAATGGGATTGCAGGGTCAAATGGTATTTCTGGTTCTAGATCCTTGAGGAATCACCACACTGTCTTCCACAATGGTAGAACTAATTTACACTCCCACCAACAGTATAAAAGCATTCCTATTTCTCCATATCCTCTCCAGCATCTGTTGTTTCCAGACAGCAAATTGTACTTTAAATCTTAATGATGAGCAAAATTATGGTAATGCCGTATACTTTGGGAGAATTAAACATTGCTGATGGCAAATTTTAACTGGTAAATCTTTTCTATAATAATATGACAAAGCATTTCAAGAACCATAAAATATTCCTACTTTATTTATCTTACCAAAATCCCACTTATTGGTATTTATCCTAAGGAAATGATACAAAGAAAAGAAAATTTGTTTTACATTTGTCTTTAATCCATCTTGAGTTGACGTTTGTCTATGGTGTAAGGGAGGAGTCCGGTTTCAGTCTTCTACATATGGTTAGCTAGTTATTCCAGCACCGTTTATTGAAGAGGGAGTCCTTTCTCCATTGCTTGTTTTTGTCAATGTTGTCAAAGATCATGTGGTTGTAAGCATGTAGCATTATATCTGAGTTCTCTATTCTGTTCCATTGGTCACTGTATCTGTTTTGGTACCACTACCATGCTGTTTGGTTACTATAGCCCTGTAGTATAGTTTGCAGTCAGGTAACATGATGCCTCCATCTTTGTTCTTTTTGCTTAGCATTGCCTTGGCTATTGAAGCCCTTTTTTGTTTCCATATGAATTTTAAAATAGTTTTTTTCTAATTCTGTGGAGAATGTAGTTTGAAAGGAATAGCATTGAATTTATAAATTGCTTTTGGCAGTATGGCCATTTTAACAATATGGGTTCTTCCTATCCATAGGCATGGAATGTTTTTCCATGTGTTGTGTCATCTCTGATTTCTTTGAGCAGTGTTCTGTAATTCTTGTTGTAGAGATCTTTTACCTCACTGGTTAGCTGTATTTCTAGGTAATTTATTATTCTGTGGCTACAGTGAATGTAATTGCATTCTTGATTTGGTTCTCTGCTTGGATGTTGTTGGCATGTAGAAATGCTAGTGATTTTTGTGCATTGATTTTGTATCCTGAGACTTTGTTGAAGTTGTTTATCAGACCAAGGAAGAGCTTTCTGGGAGAGACTATGGAATCTATATCTATATCGTAGCTATAGAATCGTGTCATCTGCAAACAGGGATAGTTTGACTTCCTCTCTTCCTATTTGAATGCATTTTATTTATTTCTCTTGTCTGATTGCACCGGACAGGACTTACAGTACTATGTTGAATAAGTGTAGGGAGAGGGCATTCCTATCTTTTTCTGGTTTTCAAGGGGAATGTTTCCAGCTTTTGCCCATTCGGTATGATGTTGCTGTGGGTTTGTCATTGATGGCTCTTGTTATTTTGCAGTATGTTCCTTCAATGCCTGGTTTGTTGAAGGTTTATAACATGAAGCGATGTTGACTTTTATCAAAAGGCTTTTCTGCATCTATTGAGATGATCATGTGATTATTGTTTTTAATCCTGTTTATGTGATTAATCACATTTATTGATTTGCATATGTTGAATCAACCTTGCATCCCAGGGATGATACCTACTTGAGCATCATGGATTAGCTTTTTGATGTACTGCTGGATTCAGTTCGCTAGTATTTTGTTGAGGATTTTTGCATCTATGTTCATCAAGGGTACTGGCTTGAAGTTTTCTTTTTTTTGTTGTGTCTCTGCCATGTTTTGGTATCGGGATGATGCTGGCCTCATGGAATGAGTTAGGGAAGAGTCCCTCCTCCTCAATTTTTTGGAATGGTTTCAGTAGGAGTAGTACCAACTCTTCATTATACATCTGGTAGAATTGGCTGTGAATTTGTCTGGTCTTGGACTTTTTTGTGGTAGGCTTTTTATTACTGATTCAATTTTGGATCTCATTATTAGTCTGTTCAGGGATTCAATTTCTTCCTGGTTCAGTCTTGGAAGATTGTATGTGTCTGGGAATTTATCCATTTCTTCTAGGTTTTCTAGCTTGTGTGCATAGAGGGGAAGATATTTGCAAACCATGCATCTGACAAAGGTCTAATATCTATAATCTATAAGGAACTTAAACAAATTTACAAGAAAAAATAATCTTATTAAAAAGTGGGCAAATATGTGAACAGATACTTCTCAAAAGAAGACATACACATAGCATTTGAAAAAATGCTCAACATTATTAATCATTAGGAAAATGCAAATTAAAATCACAAAGAGATACCACCTTCCACCAGTCAGAATGACCATATTCAAAGTCAAAAAATAACAGATGCTGGTGAGGCTGAGAAGAAAAAGGAATGCTTATACATGGCTGGTGGGAGTGTAAATTAGTTCAACCACTGTGGAAATCAGTATGGTGATTTCTCAAAGAACTTAAAACAGAACTACTCTTTGATCTGACAATCCCATTAGTGGGTATATGACCAAAGGAATACAAATCATTCTACCATAAAGACACCTGCATGCATATGTTCATCGCAGCACTATTCACAATTGCAAAGACATGGAATCAACTTAAATGCCCATTAATGACAAACTGGATAAAGAAAATGTGGTACATCTACACCATGGAATACTATGCAGCCATGAAAAAGAATGAGATTATGTCCTTTGCAGGAACATGGATGGAGCTGGGAGCCATTATCCTAAGGGAACTAACGAAGAAACAGAAAACCAAATACCGTGTGTTCTCACTTATAAGTGGGTGCTAAACATCAAGTACATATGGACACAAAGAGGGGAACAATAGACACTGGGGCCTACTTGAGGGTGGAGGGTGGGAGGAGGGTGAGGAGTGAAAAACTATCCATGTTTATTACTACTATGCTTATTACCAGGGTGATGAACTAATCTGTACACCAAGCCTCCATGACATGCAATTCACCCATATAAGAAATCTGTACATGTACCCCTGAACTTACAATAAAAGTTAAAAGAAAGAAAAGAAAATTTGTATACATGAAGATATTAATGATAGAACTATGTATAGAAGCAAACATTAGAAATATCCTAAACATTCAATGAACAAATTCTGTGTTAGGAACACACAGGATATTAAAAAATAATTAATATAAAAATGTTAAAGACTGTGAAGCAGCCTGAAAAAATGTGCAAGACATAGAAAAAGGGGAAAATTTGGAAAACATAACTCGATTTATGCTGGGATTTTATATATATGATCAAGTGTTGGAAGGGAACGTAGGAAAAAACGAGTGATTTTGTCTTACAGAAATGTTTTTGTATTGTTATGCGTGCAATAAATACTCTTTTTTGGGTTAAAGTTTAACCATGCTTCATAATCTTTACTTTGTTAACATCCTATTGTGGATCTACCATATATGAATTTATCTATATTTAAATCAGGACCCTAGGAGTTTCTAAGCAAGTTCATTTGGAAAAATTTGATAACTCCTCTGGCTATCACCTGTAGTGGAGGGTGCATCTGCTGCATTCCCGCCTCGTATTATCTCTTTTTTTCTGGCAACAGCCCTCCTTCCGCTCCCCTCAATTGGATTCAGCCTTGACAGCATTGTCAATCAAAGTGTTTTGATGCTCCCTGGCCAACAACAACAACAACAACAACAACAACAACAACGAAATCACCTCTAGTGTCTGTTCCCTGGAACCCAAGAGCTACCCAGGTTCCAGTTGATTCTAAAATCTGACTTTCAACTTCTCTTTTCGTTCTTGTAGTTATGCCATATCCTTCTGATAAATTTCTATCTTTGCTTACATAAGCCAGATTTCCCCCATTGGTATTATTTAGGTATCCCCTTCTCTCAGGCTCTACTTTCTAGATGTTAAATGCTATGGCAGTAGATGGGTGGGGAGTCCTCAATTCTGACTTTGAGGTTGGAGAAGCGTTCTCATAGGAAGTAGCACTAATAATTAGAATTTCTACCAGCAGTAATAGGGAGGAAAGGGCATTTCAAGAAGAGAGAACAGTCCCACAGTGTTGGGAGGATATGCGACGTGTTGAGAAACAGTTAATAGCTTGGTGTTGCCAGTGCTCAGGGTACCTGGAATGAGCTCCTGTGAGCTTCTGAGTTCAAGAAACTTTTTTTCTTCTTTGTGGTGCCAATGTTTACCACAGTGTTCAAAATATATAGGGTTTGGCTGGGCACGGTGGCTTATGCCTGTAATCCCAGCACTTTGGGAGGCCGAGACAGGTGGATCACCTGAGGTCAGGAGTTTGAGACCAGCCTGGCCAACCTGGTGAAACCCCATCTCTACTAAAAATACAAAAATTAGCCGGGCGTGATGGCAAGCACCTATAATCCCAGCAACTTTGGAGGCTGAAGTAGGAGAATCACTTGAACCCATGAGGTGGAGGTTAAAATGAGCCGAGATTGTGCCACTGCACTCCAGCCTGGGTGACAAGAGTAAAACTCCATCTCAAGAAAAAAAAAAAAAATATATATATATATATATGGTTTGATATATATATTTGCTGAATAGATGGCTGAAGTAGGGAAATGAAAATAGATTTGGGTGGAAAAATGAGATATACATCATATATATATATGGTTTGATATATATATATTTGCTGAATAGATGGCTGAAGTAGGGAAATGAAAATAGATTTGGGTGGAAAAATGAGATGTACATCATCAAGGTCTTGAAATGCCTTGCTAAGGCGTTTAGATTTCTTCTGAAGCCACTAGAGAGTTATCTGTGTTTAGAGTAGGGGAGTGAAACCATCAGATGAATAAAAATGTAGAGAGGGAGAAAACTGTGTGATACTGACACAACCTAAACACTGGAGCTGTTGGAAAACAGAAATGGGCCATTCTGTAAATGCGTGGGTTGTATGTGTTGCACACTGAAAATGTTAAAGTGGAGACTGGCCATCTGTTGGGGACATGGTGTAGAAGATTCTCCTACCCATTCAGTGGGAGTTTGGATCAGATGGCATTCCAACACCACACACTGCAAACTTCATTCAGCTTCTGAGGAACTAACTTATTTCGTTGACCCACTGGAAATAACCTAATTGTTTTGTGATGTTACCCACTTTCTATTGCCAGGTCTAGTCAAAAGGTACTAATCTTATTTGAAAGCAGTCCTGAGAAACAACGTGACTGATACATTCTGGAAAGGGTTTGGATTGCAGGGACTTCTTCCGTACTGCTTTATGCAAATTAGTAGAACTGATATGTCTAAAACAATTGTAGGATGCATTTCAGCAGTGATATTGGCTAATTTTTCAAGTTACTGGAGAGTGGAGTGATTTTTGGCTCTGAGGATGATAATTTTGTATCAGGACCTTCAGGTGGGGGCTGCCTAGATAGAAGGATTGAGCAATGAACTTTATCCTGCCTTATTTTTAAGCCTTATTGTGCCTCACCTAAGCAGGGTCTACCCTAGAAATTCTAAGGATGAGGCATCAGCAGTGGTGATAGCTGATTCAAATTCATCTTCTTTGTCTCTCTCATCCCAGTTTCCCTTTTTTCCCAATCAACAATAAACCACTGATAAAGAAAATCCTCAAGAATTTGCCTTCTCCACATACTGTTTCTCTCCTCTAGTAAGAATAGGAATTTGTAATTAGATGTCTTTTAGATATTTGCTTTTTACTCAACATACACAAGGACAATAATCTCTCATAAGAAGGAGAGCTGATATGAACCACACGGTCTGTTCAGAACAGAAGAGGGTTGCTGCCCCAGTGTAGAGCGCGCTTGCTAGGAAAGAAAGGCATCTCATCTAGTATTGATGGATTTGTTCACTGGGAAGTTTATTTTTATAATAATTCAATTCCCTGTTTCAATTCTTCTCTATTTAGAAATCATAGAAAAATAAATGTGGACATTTACAGAAATGGCAGGAAAGGCAAACAACAAATGAAAATAGATTAAATAAAAATAGAAAAATAATTGCAAAATCCTAGTAAATGTGTTTTCCTAACTTACTTTTGCTCTACCATGTTGAACAAGAAGTAGACATATGTGAAACTAGAAACATATTATGCAGTTTTTCAGTTTAAAACAAACCAAAACAAAACCCACTGTGTTTGCTTTTCCAAATTAAATTCTTCAGTTATACCAGTATGCAGTAGCAATTACTGGGTAAATTCAAAGGAGCTTTACTGTATGACCAAGAATACATTTCTCTTGGTCTGAAACAATCTATTAAAGGAAGACTTAATCTATGCTCTATTATCTTTGTGGTTAAGATTATTATTAAAGAATGAACTATTTGGGTCTGAGTTGGTGGTGTTTCCAATCAAACTGATAAATGTCCTCAGGCAAACTATGAAAGGTGGCAATTTAAGACTTGGTTCAAAATGCAACTACAGCTTCAGCTAGTGCATTCTTGTTCTGGAGTAAAAGGTAGAGTCAGTCTAGTCTAGTCTAGTCCAGAGCCGTGAGTCCTCTTTGCCTCTTTTGTGGTCTGCTGTTCCCCCACTCTCTCCCCACATCCCTAGGGTGGGAGGAGACTCATTCTGGGGCACTCCTCACAGGAATTCCCATCCCAGGTGCACCCCTTTCTACCTCAAAAAAAAAATCCTCATTCTATTAGAACTTGATTGCTTCACTCTTCGTCTTAAAGCTCAGAGGCTTGACCCATTACCAAGCAACCTGGTAAACTGATGTGATCACAGGCATTCATGTGTCACCCTCCCAAGTAACAGTGGCATTTTAACACACTCCTGCTGCAGATTTGTCTCAACTGAGGAGTGACTAATGGGGATGGGGGAGGGTGATCAATGTCAGCTGCCCTCTGAAGGGAAGGTGGAAAGACATTTTGGATCGAAGGCCTCCAAATCAAATGTTTCTTCTCCTTTTTGCCTAGTTTTAGACCAATTATTGCCCCAAATCAGTCTGTAAAGGAAACTCCTATAGTGGAAAGTATAATTTTCTCATAGATTTTTCTGTATCTTTGGTTTTTCCACTAAGAAATTTTGCTTATTGTTATTGCAAGCTCTTGTGATGATTACAAGTTGCCCTCTGTCCATCACAAAACAACTTACTGGGCAGGTGTCAACAGGTAACCACGTAGTGTAACTGCTTTTCATCAACACCCAGAGATGGATTTATATTAGGCTGTTAATGAGGTAGAACCCCACTCAGCCTCTGACTACCTATCTCCTGGTTTAACTCTTCCACCTTAAATGCGTTTTACTTTTCCTGGGATTTTATTAAAATTGTGTAGCTTGTATGACAGCTAATAATTCTAGTTTGTGGGAAGGAATTAAGTGGCTTATGTTGTACCTTGGCAGTAGTACATTTGGAAATAAAAGCAGACTCAAAGCACTCTGATTAATCTTGGAAAACGAGCTGCCTTCCCCACTGGGTATGCCTTCCGCCTTGGCAGCCTAATTCCTGATGCCAGAGCCTGATCTTAGGGATTTTTTATCTTTTTTTTTCTCTCCCTTCTGTTGTTGTTGTCTTAGAAGAATGAACTAAGCACTACAGTCATGGCAATTTTCCTGTATTGAATTAGGGTTGTGCTTTCATTCTTTCTGAACTCCCTTTGATCTAGATGTTTTGGCTGCCCTTGGGGTAAGGGCTGAGCAGCTGCAGCTCGCTGAGCAATGCCCTATGGGATGATACCTGCTCCTGTGCTGCCCCGCTCACTCTTCCTGGGTTATGAATGTATGCTTAGCATGGGACCCACACTCTTAAGTTTGCTATGAGAAAAAGACATAGTCATCGTAGAGTAGCATGCTATAAGCCATTTCCAAGCAGCATGGTAATTTGGGCTGAAGCTGCTACAGTTATGCAGTTATGGCTAAATCTTACCAGATGACATGAGAAAAAAAAAGTGAGTTAAATAGATTTGAGCCCACGGATCCCTGCAGAGAATAATGGATTACAGAAGGGGCACTATTTATGGACTCAAAATGCTAAAATTTCAGTGATACCATCTCTTCCACAAATGCAGTACTTCCTTAGTTCATCTCTGCTGTAAATTCATATTCTCTAAAAATCTTTGAATAAATTACAATAAATAGAAAGGCCAGTTCTTAAGAGAGCAACATTGCACAACATTGCATATCATATCAGGAGACGGAGGAATTGGCAGAGTTTCTGTTTGGGAAATGACTTGGTAGGCTGGAAAACAGACACCAAAGCTTTTATGAATAGGTCATCAGTTTAAATTCAGCATGGCTAGTGGTGGGTAAATGTCACTACCCATATGGCTTGGGTTCTTTGGAAATGTTGCTTACTTCTGGCTGTATGAAGCAAGTACATATAAGCTATTTGCTGTGGGACCAGATCTGAGAGTCATAGAAAGGGAAAGTGTAGCTGTGATCCTAGTAATTTAGCATCTTTATCTTTATATAATATCTATTATCTAACTTGAGAATCATATCGACATCATTAGATTGTATCATCACCACTTTACAGATGAAGAAAATGCAGCCCAAAGAGATTAAGCAACATGTCCAAGTTCACACAGCTAAATGGCACAGACACAATTAAACCTGAGGCCTCCAAAATGCCTAGCCTGGTTCTGACCCAACTCAAGTGGAATAGAGTGTTTCTTCCCCAACTCTGAACTTTTCAACTTGTGGGCTGATCCAAGTCTGTGAAAACCTCAGTGCTATTATTAGGAATGTATGAGTCCATAGGTATACCTGTGACTCTAAAATATCTTCTGTATTTAGGCACAGTTGTATTTCAAATGTATATAGATGCCCCTGTGATTAACTCTTAAAATTAATTACTTAAAATAGAAATTTATTGAAAGCTTTCTGAAAACATAGTAGCATCTGGATACTATATATTTTATTAAATAATACACACCTAAAGTACAACCACAATTATGTGTGTTTGCGTGTGTAGGGGGGTACACAGTTTGTGTTTGCATGTGGGGGGATATGAATACATGACTGTGTTTTAAGTAAAAAGTGATCTTCTTCTGCAAAAACATTAGGAAGCCCTATCTGATGTAGCAATCCTAGAATTAGAAATTAAGTTGTTTTGTTGCATCTTTTTATTTCTTTTTGTTGCTCAAATTAGTGGATTATATACTGCAAGGAGGAGGCTGTATGTCATTCATCCTTCTTTCATACAAATCTCCCCGTCTCCCCAAAAATGACGATTCAGTCATTCAAGTGTGAAAGACAAACTGGGCTATAGACAATAAAGAACAAGATTCTCCATGTCCTTTGTTAGTAACTGGAAACATTTCTAGACAAAGTAGATACAACCTAAAACTCGCAGTGCTTAACATTCTAATTACTGAATGTCCCCACACCTGAGCAGCAGGTCCTACTCTTCAGCCTCAGCTCACAAATAGGAAACAGGGTGGGCCTGAGAGAGGTGCAACAATCTTGGAAACAGATAATGGAAACTTAATGGGCTGGGAGACAAATAATTTATGAATATGCACCCATGTGACTTGATAAGGTTGGTTTTCCAAATTAACGTTTTGTACCTTGTCCATGTTGTGTAGTCATAGGGCAGGAAAGGCATTAAGAGTTTTCTTTAACTTCTAAGAATTGGAAGCCCCAAGAGAAGTTTCTTTAAAAAGGCATCGGACCTTTTGAAGCCAGGAACTCTGTGTGGTAATCTGGGTGTGTTTTATTGTCAAGGATGGGAAAAGCCTGCTACACCCAGAAATCAGCTTAAAACATGCCTAGGGACACCCACACATATAAAAGGCATCAAGAAGCCTCCATGGAAAAGAGGCCGTGTTCCCTGAGACTGTTGGGGAAAATAGTTACAGTTTCTAAGTTGCTTTTCTTTTTATTCATTCATTTTTTTTTTGAGGCGTCTCACTCTGTTGCCCAGGCTGGAGTGCAGTGGCGTGATCTCAGCTCACTGAACTAGGAGAATCGCTTGAACCTCCGCTTCCCAGGTTCAAGCAATTCTCCTGCTTCAGCCTCCCCAGTAGCTGGAATTACAGGCACCCACCACCATGCCAGGCTAATTTTTGCAGTTTAGTAGAGACGGGGTTTCACTGTCTCTACTAAATGGCCATCTACTACATGGCCAGACTGGTCTCGAACTCCTCACCTCAAGTGATGTGCCTGTCTTGGCCTCTGAAAGTGTTGAGATTACAGGCATGAGCCGCCATGCCTGGCTAAGTTGCTTTTCGGTTAGATACGGCATTGTCTCGGTCCAGGTGCATACGTGGATGAGAGGGGAAAAACCAATCCACCTATTACTTTGGCATTGTTGGGTTTAAACCACCTTCCAACCTGGAGACTCTTTTTACTTGAATATCACTCTAATTTGAACCTGCTCCCTCTGTAATATGACTTTCCTTATCTTGAGCAATATTTCACTGGGCACTGCCTTTCAGCAAATCATAAGGGGATGGTTTGTTCCTCTAGTCCTGGCATAAAACTAGAAAATACAAAAAGCTTGAAGTTTATTTGAAACATTCAGATACAAGGACTTTGGTCCTCGGAAAACATTTCTCATTTTGTTTTCCTGTAAGAGCAGGGTTTTGTCTGTCTTGCTCAATGCTAACCAGTACCTAGAAGACTTGCCAGGCCTATAGTAGGCACTCAATAAACATTTGTTGGGTGAATAAATGAATCCACTTCCCTCCCACATCTGCTCCTATAATGATGAGATGAGAAATGCAGAGGAGGCCTGGCGACAGTTGTCAGGCTGGGCTGGTTTCCACAGGCATTCTCTTCAGCTGCAGAAAGGACAACTAATTGCCACTGCTGCTTCATTTGTATCAGCCTTTCATCATGAACATTGTTATTTTGCCTCTTCTGCCAGGGATCAAATTATACAAGATTAATTAATCAAATAATTAAGTGAAAATAATTCCTTCTTTCCTTCCTCCCTTGCTCCCTTCCTTCCTTCCTTCCATTTTCTTTCTTTCTTTTTCTCTCTCTCCCTTCCTTCCTTCCCCCTTTTTCTTTCTCTCTCTCTCTCTCTCTCTGTCTCTCTCTCTCTCTCACTCATTTTTCTGGGGTCTCATTCTGTCACCCAGGCTGAGTACAGTGGCACAATCATGGCTCACTGCAGCCTTGACCTCCCCAGGCTCAGGTGATCCTCCCACCTCAGCCTCCCAAGTAGCTGAGACTACAGGCACACATCACCATGCTCGGCTATTTTTTTTGTTTTGTATTGTAGAGACGAGGTGCTGCCATGTTGCAAGACTGTATAATATTTCTGATATCAGGCTCTCTGGAACTCTCACATTCAGTCCCTTTTCTTGAGGGGCCTGAAGAGTCAGCCTAGAATAATTTGAATTTGGTTCTATACTAAAAACATTTGTATAGCATTGAAGTCTTGTAATTGTCTTAGATTTAGATATATTAACCAAATAGAATCCATCCCATCAATTATAAATGATTTAATTTGTTCTTATACTTTGTCTTATTTTTGAGATTAATTTATATCGTGGGTGTATTTTTCTAATCACACAAAAAAGTTAAAATATTACCTAACTGCACCAAGGACTTCAAACAGGATATGGCATATAGAAGGCATCACCGAATTTCTTCTTCTGAGGGCCTAAGTAGCACATCCAGCTACATATACATATATATCTGTGCTATTTATATGTGTGTGTGTACACACACACACACACACACATATATATAGAGAGAGAGAAAGAGAAAGAGAGAGAGAAAGGGAGTGAGAGAGAATAGGAGACAAGAGAATAATTCAAGGTATCATGGTATGAGTGAAAAGAGCAGGAGTTCTGGGGAGTATGTGTTTGAATCCTGGCTTTCTTATTTACTGCTCTGTACTTTGGGCCATTTAGTTATTTTAGTTTCCATTTAATCACCTGAAAAGAGGGCATACCATTACTTTCCATGGGTCATTGTATGGATAAAATGTGCTAAAATACATGCAGTACCTAGGACAACACTTGGAGCGCTGGAAACGCTCAATGTTAGTCTCCTGAACTCCATGAGCATTTTCAATGTCCTAGAGGAGAGACACCCTGTGTCTATGATGCCTTTCTCTTTTCTTTTTCTTTCTTTCTTTTTTTTTTTTGAGACAGAGTCTCGCTCTATCACCCAGGCTGGAGTGCAGTGGCACCATCTCGGCTGACTGTAACCTCCGCCTCCCGGGTTCAAGCAATTCTCCCGCCTCAGCCTCCCGAGTAGCTGGGACTACAGGCACATGCCACCATGCCCGGCTAATTTTTGTATTTTTAGTAGAGACGGGGTTTCACCATATTGGCCAGGCTGCTCTGGAATTCCTGACCTCGTGATCCACCCGCCTCGGCCTCCCAAAGTGTTGGGATTACAGGCGTGTGAGCCACCGTGCCTGGCCTATGATGCCTTTCTAAGAAGGGAGGATAATTGGAAAACAGATATTCTAAAATCTCTGCCTTCATTTAGCAACTTGAAAACAGTACGTGAAAAGGAACTAAGAAATTTTGGGGCCTCATCTGTGTGTATGAGGAGATATCCTGCAATGGTTTAGATGGAACACATTCATTTTTTATTCGTCTTCAAGGCTTATAATGAACCTTCAGATACAGGAAAAGGACCAGCCAACTGCTGCAGCTCTTCCCTCTACTAGACAGAGCAGGAGATGCATTAGAAAATGTGATAATCTGACACCTCTGTCCAGGGAAATGCAAAGGAAGAGGTCAGTTACTGTCAATTCTAATTAGATTCATTTATTCCTGCTCTTTGGCCCATTGAAATGATGATATATGGATGAAAATTCACAAATATTTTAGTAAGCTAAGACCAAGGTGCTGAAATAATTTTCTCTCTACTTTAGAGTGAACATAGAAGGGAATAGAGGGGCTCACAGAGATGGGGGCATTGACTGAATAAATCCCGTGGGCCAAGAATGGGAGTTCAGGAAAGAGTTCAATCAAGAGGGCAACTTTTAAAATAAGAGTTTTCAATTTGCAAATGAAGTTCTCAATTTTAATTCCCTTGAAGTTTTAAAATGTGTGGGCATTTATTCTTGCTTCTCAGGATTGGAACCACTTTCTATTAGGGTGAAGATAGGTAGCACAGAAGCATATGACCTAGGCTCAGCCACCTGGATGCTCCCAACTGGGACTCTGAACTTTGAGGGAATGGTTCAAACTTACAAAGTTGGTTAAGAAATTTTTCCCAGGGGCAGTAGTAACTATTGTCTAGTGTAGCTGTGTGTTGCTGTGGCATGGGTGGGGGTGTCAGTGGCAATGTCTTCCACAGATTCTTCCTGTGGATTGGTCCTACTGACTGCTTCCTTGACTTTGGCCTTTTCCCCCTACCCCAAGTTTTTCTTCTCCAGCTCTCTTATGGATTGTGTCGTCTAAATCACATATACTTCTAGTAATTTCCTCTTTTGTTAAGTCTGAGAGTATTTCTTTGGCTTGCAACTAAGACCTGACTCAAACATGTTGAGTTTTTAAAAATTACTTTTACATTCAGCTTTTCAAGAATACATGTTTTGTAAGGAAAGATACACCTATGCTTAAGTCTTGAGAGGATATAAAAGAGAGTTGTGGGCAGGATCAATGAGGCAGATTTGTGGAGACTTTCTAGAAGAATGTTTTCATAGTGTTTGGAAGGCAGCAGTAGATATGAATAAGCCCAGAGAAGGTGAGAATACAGGGTGGGCGATAAGCGTATCAATTACATACAGCCTGGTCCTGGATCCTTTAAAAGAAGCAATTCTTAAAAAAAAAAAAAAATGAGAAAGAGATCTCTAGTCTGACTGGTTGGGTGCTATTTCCTATTCAGCTCTTCATGCAATACCTCACTAACTGCCACCCAATTTCAAGCCTCCCATTCCTGGGAAACACAATGGAGAGGGAGGAAGTTGGCTAACTCGAAGAAACACCTGGAGACGAACAGCAGCTTTTCTCAGTTATGCTTTTGACTTGGACAGGGAGTGGAAATTCTACTGAGGGCTCAACAGGTGATCTCCTTTGGGCTATGGACAAAGGCCACATGCTCGAGCTACTAGTTAAGCTACCTGTTTTTGTGTCCCAGCCAAACACAATACACAACCTATCTGAATAGAAGACACAGTGAGTCATGAAACCTCAGAAACTCACTTTCGTGAGAAGGCGTGCATTTGTGCATGTGTATGTAATCTGCCCATGGCCACAAAATAGCATTTCTGGCTTTCTTAAAGGTAATTAAACATCATGTCCCAAAGGGCTTATGAGAATACCCTCAAACTGCTGGGAGAAATAATAAAATATCAGGGCTTGCAGCACCATTGAGAAATGAGAATTTCTGTAGCCGGCTAAAAAAATCAGACTCTCCTGGACTCTTGAACAATTGGGGTACATAGAGCCATTTGGAGAGCACTAGGGTACTTCCTTCTTGATTTGTTTTGTGGTCCTCAGCAGCTGTCAGTTCCTTGAGTCAAGCTGGTTAGGACTGGAAACAAAAGATTTTTGTTTGAACCTTACATTTTTAAGATATAGAAATGGCACCTTGAAGCGACGACAGGGCATGCAATTGCTGTTCAAAGTCAACAGGAAACTTTAAAAGCATATGTTAGAGTCTTTGCTTTCCTGTTTCTCTCATTATGTATTCTATTAATGGGTGGATGAGGACTTTGATGTCAGGGTAGTCAGGAGTGTTTAAGAATACAGTAGGCTGTTTGTTTAAGAAACTGCTTAGTTCCTCCACTCTGTGTTAACTCTTGGTAACTTTATATGTTGTTATAATTTAAAAATCATTTTAAAAATTGGAAGACTAGCACAAGGAACTGATATATATCCTTTATTCACTGATAAAATGAATATTTTTTCCTATGGAGAAAAATATTTACATATATAGGAAAATAAATTTATATATGGATATATATGTATACCTATTCCTATTTTTATTCTGAGTTATTTGAAAGCAAGTTGGAGCTATCTTGACCCTTTATGCCTAAATATTTCGGTATGTAAGAACATGAATATATATAACTACAGTATAGTTATCAGGTTCTGGAAAATTAACATTAATATCAAACTTGTATTTAATCAACAATCCATATTCCAAATTTAATTGTTCAAATAGTGTCTTTTGCAGTATTTTTTTCTTACCATACAGAATGCAGTCCAGAATCACATATAGCATTACTTGCCATGTCTTTTTAAGCTTCTTTAATCTATAATAGTTTTTCAACCTTTCTGTATCTTTTTGATCTTGGTATATCTGAGGAATCTATTACTCTTTAAAGAATGGTACCCATATTTTTGTCCTCCTAACTTCTCTAATTCTTCTCATTACTAAGTTCCTGCTACATGTTTTAACAATTGACTCTTTGGCTCTTATCTCTATTAATCTTTCTGATTTCCTATTTGTTCCTTTCCTCCATTCTATAATCAGATTTTCTGTACTCCTTATAGAAAGTGAAAAATTGTTCCTGTCAGTGGACTGAAATACAATAGCTGGTTGCAAAACAGTCCAAGTGCTTACGTGGACATAATTGTTTTACTTTCTTCCTATAATTGATTAAATAATTTGAAGGCACCTCTTTAAAATATAGACATTTATCCATCCAGAAAGCCTAGGACAGTTTGTATAGCAGCCTAGATTTTTCTCTAACAACTAAACGTTAGGCTCATTTGTAAATATTTCAGCAACTTGACACTTTGGAGATGTGCATTTCAGAAATTATTTAGGATCTGAATTCAATTAGGATAACTTCTTAAATCCAGTAAATGCAACCATCCAGACAGTCTCAATCTTCTTACTTCTTTACACGGAATAAGGCAAGGCTCCCAAGTTAGTTCCCATGAGTTTCCTCCTTGAGCAATTTCTCTTCTTGGAAACACTTGAGAGAAGGGGCAGTCCTATCTCACTGGGGCCCAGATGATCAGTGCTTGGCATTCCTTATCCCCTCTCCATGGTATTTTCTTGAGTCCAGTGGTAATTCTGGCAATTGGTTCTTGGCAATACATAGGATTCAACTCACCACTCCAAGGCCGGTAAATAAGAGAATGATACATGGAGATAAACTCTTAATAGTTATCCTTGTTTTTATAAAATTTGAGTAAGGTCAGGATGTTCAGAGTCACATTAAAAATTTCTCAGCATTCACTATAGTCTGTGTGAGAGCTGGGACTCAGTGTTCTGAGAAAAGAACCATGATTTCTGCCCAAGACCCAAACTTCCTGAACATCGGAGCAAGTTACTTTATTTCCTTTAATTTCTTCCTCTATAAAATGGGAATAATTATATCACAGGGATAATTTATGAAACTGCCATAAAAGTGGTAGCAAAGACTCAAGCACAGCATTCCATAAATATTAAATCAGGACAATAATAATTTGTGAGATTTTTTTGTGAACCGCTGACCCTGTTTCACACAAAAGGTGGCTTACTGATAGAATGTATTTACCTCCATTCATTTAAAGCAACCTCTACAAGAAATTATTATGAACAATGATCCTAGGTTTTTGCTGTCAAACAAGCTGGATTAAGCAGCATTATTCAGAATATAGACTGGCATTATAATGAAATTGGCATTTGTGGTGGCTGATAAAAAAATGAAGCTTATTGTATAAGCATTCTTTTTTTTTTTTTTTTGAGACGGAATCTCATTCTGTCACCAGGCTGGAGTGCAGTGGCGCAATCTTCGGCTCACTGCAACCTCCGCCTCCCAGGTTCAAGTGATTCTCCTACCTCAGCCTCCTGAGTAGCTGGGACTACAGGCACCCACCACCATGCCCGGCTAATTTTTTTGTATTTTTAGTAGAGACGGGGTTTCACCATGTTGGCCAGGCTGGTCTTGAACTCCTGACCTTGTGATTTGCCTGCCTTGGCCTCCCAAAGTGCTGGGATTACAGGTGTGAGCCACCGCACCTGGCCGTGAGCACTCTTAAAACATAGTGGAGCCTTGTCTGGGCTTGGTACATGTTGTCTCCCACTTCTCTTATCCCTGAAATGCATATAATTGCACTGCGCATGGTGGGAGGAAACATATGTTCACGCCTGTCTCACACACACATACCACATACCAAATGTTGCCTTTCCTTCAGTCCCTCATTGCCTTTCCTTCCGACTGCACTGCCGCCCACTTCTCTCTACAGTCCTCCTCCCACACAAGCCAGCCTTCTCTAGTAACAATGCTGTTCTGGACCTGCCATTGTCTCTCTCCACAACAAAACATATCCAGCTCTGGTCTTATACCCACAGAGTCTTCTTCCAGGTGACAGCCATCTGAACTGCTAAGCCAATCTGTTCTAGTGAGATCATGAACAATATTGACTTTATGTGTTGCCTCGTCTCTTGCCTTATTTCAGCAAAACTTCTTCTTGTCAGTGTTTTCAAGGATCATGGCAGAACCAGTGAGGAATACTTTTGGTGGTTGGAACTTTCTTTTGCCTTTAAATCACGCTGTTGAGGTGTGTAGTCTGCAAGGGACTAGCTGTCAGACACTGCATTTTTTGCTAATTGAGAAAACATTCTGACTAAACTCAGTCCCTGAAATAGGGCCTCGAGTCCAATCATTTTTGGTGATAGAGAAGTTGAATTCAAGGCCAAAACAATGGAGAGTGATAGTGACTCCCTTTGTTTCTAAGGTCTCTCTCTGGTCTGGACATTTCTAGAAGATGCTTTACTACTCATCTAGGATAATCTTCATGTCTTACCAGAAGAATACCACCTACCAAGCTCAACTACTACATCAGCAAGATCTTCTATTAGGTCCGAATAAATTGCTATTTTGGTACTGTAGAAAAAAATGACTAAGTGAAATCGCCAATTTGGACTGTTGAGGTTGTTGGAATTCCTATTTATGGCATCCAAGGTTAGCAAAATTCATATTTGCAGGCTTAGAAGGTATATGATTTTTTTCATTCATTAATCTGTCCTTGTATGTATCATCTTCTTTCCTTAATAATTCACTTTTTACCTTCTCATTTTTGCTTACATGTATTTTCCTTTTATCACTCCTTTACCCCTCCTTCATGCTCCCTGAACTCCTTTCTTCCCCTTCCACAGTCATCCTTTTTTCATTTCAAGAATGGTTGCTGACATTTTATTTTTGACCCATTTCTCAGTTCTTTCATCTTTCCATCCTGGCTCTTCCTATCCAATTTTTAATGCATCTTCCAAACTTTTGAGGATGAGGCACACTTTTCTCTGCCTCACTGCAACAGGCTGCCATTGAGACAGGAAATGAAACAATCGGCCCTGTGCTGGCATGAACTTCACCTTAGCATTAGCCACATTGGAGCCACCACTGAACATACTCATACTAGAATAAAGTTGTCCTGATCAGCATCATGGTCCTGGAGGGCATTACTGCTTCACACTATAGTTACCACCCTGCGTTTGTACACACATGTACAGACTCATATAGCCACACATACATATTTACTTCTTATACATGGGATTTGATATGGCCTTTAATTTGTAGTTTGCCTTTACAGAATTTGGTTGCAGTACTGTCAGATATGCTCCCTCAACTGAATCAGTTTTAATAAAGCATAAATTAGTGGATGGGGACTTAAATTTGCCAATCCAGATAAAGTGTACAGAATAATTGTAATATGAGCTTTCTAAATAAGAACTTGCTGGAATAAATATGATGCCTTGGGGAGATGTTGGCAATATCATCACCTAATTAAGGAGAAAGAAACAGTGACACCACCTTTGGAAGGAATCTAAGATGCCATATAATTCCATTTTATTCTTGGGAAACCCTGATTACTACAACATAGGTGATCCAGATAAAACATTAATTTTAAGACCTTGAGGGAGGGAGAAATTGACTTGTTTCCAGTCCCAGAGCATATCAGCGGAGGGATCAAGACTGGATCCCTGTTCTTGGCAGTTTGCAATACAGATATTTGGAAATGTTTTCCCCCCTGAGAATGTTACCTTAAAGTTACCATGAACTTTATTCTTAAAAAAAATTCTTCATACGGTCTTAGATAGAGCATCTTTATGGTAGCTCTCTGACCACTCAAACAGTATTCATTGAGATGAACTCATATGAAGGCATGTGGTAGAAAATAAAACACTTGGAACCACTTGATCTGATCTTGTTATCACCTCTACAGATGACATAGCCTTTTTTTCCTACTAACTTACTCTCATTAGGCTTGACGTATCCTAAGCTTCTATTGAAAGGAGAATAACAACTTTATTTTGAAGTGGGGCAAAAGTTCACTGGCCTGGAAATTATTAAGTGGTTTGTCTACTAACATTATGAGCAATCATTTACATAAAGGCAGTGATAATAGGAAATTTCTCACAGCAAATGTGCAGTATACTATAATTTAGATTTATTGGCTCATATTCATGTGCTTTTAAAAGTTTGGGGCAAAGTCAGGCAGATTATACGTGGCAAGATTTATGTTTACCCATTAGGCCACCCTAACAATTCCATGAGTGTTAAAAATCATAAATACAGGAGTCAAAAACTTATTAATCATGTGGTTCAACTCCTCATAAGGGCACTGAGACCTTGAGAGATTAAGTGAGGTCTTCTGACCCAGAGATTCTTGCACTCTTCTCTCCGCTGTCTAGTAAGAAGTTGTTGCAGAATAAATCAAATCAATTTTCTCTGACCCCAGGAGGACTCTTGTTTTTATTTTTCCAGAGTTGAGCAATTTTTTCCCCTGAATCTTTCTTAAAACCAAGGACTAATATTTGCTGGCAAAGGCTAGCATGAGATACACAGGATGTAGCTGTAGAACAAGGAGTATTTCCTGTGCAAAATTTACTGGCTTAATCAGAAATTGCATCCTTGATTTCATATTAAGTTGGGAGTTAAATCTTCCCACAACTTGGCATGTGGAGCCAGATATCTATGAAACACTTGATATCCATGAAAATGGGGAAGAGATGGAGATACCCTAGGAAAAGGAGAAACACAAATATTTTAGTGTTCAGCTTTTAAATGCACCAAATCTGAAAAATCCACAGAATGAGACTGATTTTCAAATCCAAAGAAAATATTTACACCATTCTATTTATAAACATAAATAGAACCATATGAAATTGCCTTTTCCGTAGGCCCAAAATATTGAAATATTGGCAATTTCTTATAGTTCAACCAAATATTATATAATAAAAATCGTGGGAAACTAGAACATGTATATACATTTCAAGTGACTATGGTTTTTGCTTTCATACTGGGTTCCTTAAAAATTAATTGGACCATTATAGGCCTTAGTTAACTGTATATAGATTCTGGAAAATAGCAGTGAGTGGATACGCCATGCTTGTCTGTTCTTCACATTGCTTGGATCTGACCTCCATAACTGCATGGTTTTACCTCCACCAAAGCATTATTTTTTTTCAGGATAATCTCCTGGTATTGCAAGGAAGCCAGCTACCTACTTCAAAGGGAATCATCCTGCCGTTGTGTCTAGGCAGTTCGACTCACCTTCTACTTTGCCTTTTAGGGCCCCTCTTTTTTTCTTTGCTCTGGCACTGATGTGCTTCTAGAAATGCTCCATTGTCTCTTTGTTCCTACATGCTCCAACATTTCTGCTCAGCTAAATGACGGCTAATAGCAGTGGGATAGGCTGCCAGCTGTTATGGGTGCTTTGTGTGGAGCCTATCTGACCTTTTTATTATATAAAAGTGTTAAGCCAGTTATTAACAGAAGAGAAACTGAAAAGAAACCATATAAAGAAAAAAGTGGCATAGCAAACCCACTTATAAATCAGCCGTCCTTTAATTATCTTGGAAGCAAGAACTTCCTCATTATGAAAGATGGAAGAAAGTAAGGTGGAAGGCTTATCACCTGATGATAACCCTGTGTCGGCATCAATTATAGGTTTTCTGGATTAATGCATTGAGATGTTGATTTCAGGAGCTCAGACCAGACTTCAGTGTTCAAGAAAGCAGGCTACTCAAGAGAGTGATACAGAAAAGCTGATTCAAATGTGGACTTTGCTGAAAAGGGCATTACTATTTGGTAACCCAGGTCTTGATCTTAATTCAAACAGGTAATGTAAGCTCAGACAGCACAAGAGCTGACGTGTATTTGAAAATGTCTAGATTCCACTTCTTAAGTGCTTTCAAGTTTCCACCCCAAAAAGTTAAATTCTAAACTGCGTGTGCTTTTATCTCTTCTCATTTCCTTTACTTGTACAATATACAGTAAAATTTTTGTTTGAAAAATACCAGGCTTGTTTTGGCCCCCCGACCCTCTGAGCCTTCACCCAAAGCACTCGCTAAGCCGAGTAAGACCTTTTTTGAGGCCTGAAAGTGTCTGGTTCACTTTCTTTTATGTTATTTTTCCTTTGGGTGGACCTCTGCATTTCAAGATGTATTATTTAAATATTATCATTTCCAGGCCAAAAACAGGCAAAAAGTTCTAAAGGAACACAATTTTGCAGACTACAGATTTTTAGAAAAAATTGGATTAGCTGTGTATAAGCATCTAGCTTTTGGGGTGCTTAAAATAGAAAGTATCAAAATGTATCACTAGCCCAAATCCTCATCTGACTCAGATCCTTGAAGGTTGCCCTCCGTTAGTCTGCCAGAGAGCCCCATATTCTATTCAGTATTGGTTTCTTGGTTTTGTAAAATACAAGGGTCAATGTCTCTAAGGAAGCTGCTGTTTATTTGGTAAGCTTTACTAATCCTTTCCCATTATAACAAAAAGACAATACAGTTTATCACAGAAGTAAAAACACACTGTTGCCGGATATTTTCACATGCTAACTGGCACTACAGTCTTGTACATTTTGTTTTCATGAGATATCCAGGTTACATGAATAATACACTGGGAGGTTTGGGAGATTTCTCAAACATTATTTTTGGTAGTTACAGAAACCAAAACCGAGAGGAATGTATATGTTTGTGAACATTTAATTACATGTCTATGTGCACAGGAATGAAAAAATCACTTAATCAATAACTAAAAGCACCTTGATAGGATGAAGCTAACTTGTGGTCTGTGCATTTTGAACCAGATTCTAATAAGCTTTTGAACCTTTTTGACACTGTCACTCAAAGATATTTTGTATTCTTTTCTTTTACTATTTATCTGATTTGACTCCAATCCACTTTGTGGTGTTGGCTGGGTTTTTGGGTTGAGTCAAATTTTCCATACAACACAAAACTCTTCTCTCACTCTGAGAATGTTCCTTAAATCAAGAATAGAACACTGAGGAAGGGCTTGTATTAACCTGTCTGGAAAGCAAGTTTGTGTCTTCTTTTTCTTCTTCTTTCTTCTCTTTTAATAAGACTAATAACTAGAGGTCTTAGTTAAAATAATGGAGATGTTGAAAGTGGATTTGAAAATGCACGGTAGCTGCCTAATCATGCTTGAACTTTCTAGTGGCTCACTTGCCTTGTGCTTTTTAATTGATGGGGCAGACATACCAAGTGTTTGGAGATGAACTGATACATGCCTGGATTTATGAGGCCCAGAGGCTAAGTTTGAACTTGCTAGCTAGTGGGAGAGCAGAGGGGTCACGTTCAGCTGTGGTTGAGGCTGAACTGCCACTATTCAGTTCATATGGGGAGAAAAGTCACTTTCCAAAGGGCATTTGGTCTGCAGCAGAACCACAACTTTTAGTCCTCTGATATGTCAAATGCAGAACCAATGTAATTATCTGGATAAATCAAACCACAGATTGTTTCATACTCTAAGGTAACTATGAAAGACATTGACAATGAGCCCATGCATTTTCTTTTCTTTCCGTAAGCTTTCTTTCCCCCCAGACCTCATCTTTGTCAATTCCCTTCTCTTTCTTAAAAAGTATACAATCTCCCTGTGGTTCCTTTCTTGTAGCCTCTTGGGGTCATGTGAATTTGGTGGACTTATTGCCCTTCTCTCCAAATAACATGTAGTCCTCCTTAAAACAGTATTAAACTGACTGATCCCTGTATTTTAATTTATTAGTGTAGGGGAGGAGTAATGAGTAGAAGAGAATGAAAAAAAGAAAGCAAATTGATATTTATTGAGAAATAGCCATGAGTCATGAATTTTGCTTGGTATTTTGTGAACATCCTCTCACAAACTTCTGTAATATAATTAAGATATTGTAAGTTAAAATCATTAGGAATAACAGGGAGTTATGTCAGCAACATGGAGTTCTCTGGCTTCATTCCTTGCCCGCAAAAGAAATCCAATTAGCAATTATGCACAGGCAAGAATTCCATCTTGAATATCCCAGAATTCAGGAGTGAGGCTGATACACTTCTTTGGACCACAGAATCTAAAAATGCCATGAGTGAATGGTAAGAGAATCAGTTTTCTTTGACTGCAGTCCCCCTTTTCCAGACTGGCATGGCACCACATGCAGAAAATTCTCCTGGGTCCACAGCTTCTGCAGTGTGAGGGATGAATTGGAGGTGAACATTCAGCATCTGTACCGTTCTGAGACCCTTTGCTGGAGACTTGCTCCTGTCTCATCATGTGAGAAATATTGGGAGTGCCAGCAGGGCTGGACCACCTGGGGTCAGTTGGAGCCACGGAAGGTGGGTAAGGCTCCATAAGAATCAGTGCATGGATCTTGGTAGCTGCTCTGCATTCCAACCAAAGAAGGCACCACAGCAGAGAAACTAGCCAACAGCATCATGCCGCAGGCAACACAGCAGAGATTCCAAAACACAGTACCACCCAGCCAGGAAAGACAACCCATAACCTGGCCCAATTACACCTGATGGTAGAGTTCAGCCAGTGGTCTCACCAGACCACAGAGCACAGCTAGCAATACCATTTATCCTCCACACAGGAAGTGACCCAGCTCAACTAGAGAATCCCACACCAAGGCCTGCCTGTTCGGGGTTGCAGTTAGCCAGCACATACAGAATCCCAGGCTAGACTAAATAGTAAAGGCCTATTACCACCAAACAGCAGCTGCAAAGGCTGGAAGAGGTGGTCACCTCTTTAAATATGCAGGCATCAATTTAAGGACACAAGAAAATTATGACAAATCAGGGAAATATAACACCATCGCCAAAAAAAAAAAAAAAAAAAAAATGAAGCTCTAGTAAGGAACCCAGGAATAAAGGCTCTCTAAGAAGTGACTGATAAAGAATTGAGAATAATCCCTTTAAAGAAATTCAGGTAACTACGTGAAGATAGAGATAGAAAATTAAATACAATTTGGAAAACAATTCATGAACAAAATGCAAAGTTTGACAAAGAAATAGAAACAATTTTTAAAAACCAAATAGAAATCTTAGAGATATAAAACACAACAACTGAACTGAAAAATTCAATAGAAAAATTCAATGGAGACTTGATCAAGCAGAAGAAAGAATCGGTGAGCTCAAGACAGGACATTTGAAATTATCCAATCAAAGGCGCAAAAAGAAAAAAAGAATAAAGAAAGCTTACAGGATTTATGAGATAGCATCAAAGGAGCAAATATTTGTCTTTGGAATTTAAGAGGCAATAGAGAAAGACAAAGGAGTAGAAAGCTTATTTAAGGAAATAATAGCAGAAAACCTTCTAAACCTGAAGAAAGATATAAATATCTGGTACAGGGAGGTTAACAGGCACCAATCAAATTCAATCTAAATAAGACTACCCCAACACATATTATAATCAAACCATCAAATATCAAAGACAAAGAGAGGATTCTGAAAGCAGAAAGAGAAAGGAAGCAAATAACTTATGAGAGAATGTTAATGTATTTAGCAGTAAACACTCAACAGAAATCTTACAGGCCAAGAGGAAGTGGGATGATACATTCAAAGCACTGAAAGAAGACAACTCTGCCAACCAAAAATACTGCAGTGCTGTCCTTCAGAAATGAAGGACAGGTAAAGACTTTCTCAGACAAACAAAAGCTGGGAGATTTATCACCCCAGACCTATCTTACAAGAAATGCTAAAGGGAGTTCCTCACACTGAAAGAAAAAAATGCTATTGAGAAACACAAAAACATATGAAAGTGTAAAACTTACTGGTAAAAGTAAGTACACTGGTAATATTTGGAATAGTCTAATATTTTAATGATGGCATGTAAATCACATATTTAGTATAAAAGTTAAAGGACAGAATTATTAAAAATAATGATGACAGTAAGTTGTCAAGGGATGTGAAATATAAAATGTTATAAACTGTGGCATAACAGAGTCAAAATGTGGGGGTAGAGTGAAGTGTAGAGTTTTGTTTTTGTTTTTGCAATCAAAGTTAACTTTTTATCAGCTTAAAGTAACCTGTTATAACTATAAGATGTTTTTTGTAAGCCTCATGGTAAGTGCAAAGTAAAACCTATAATAGATACACAAAAAATAAAAAGCAAGAAATCAAAACACACTACAGAGAAAATCACTTAACTAAAAAGAAAGATAATAAAAGAGGAAAAAAGGAATAAAGAATCTACAAAACAACCAGAAAACAGTTAACAAAATGGCAAGAGTATGTCCTTGCCTATCAATAATTACCTTGAATGTAACTTGATTAAATTCTCCAATTAAAAGAGTGGCTGAATCAATTTTTTTTTAAAAGACCTAACCATTTTTTGCCTAGAAGAGAATGAGACTCAGTTCACTTGTAAGGACACATGTAAATTGAAAGTGAAGGGATGGAAAAAGATATTCCATGAAAACACAAATCAAAAGAAGGCAAGAATAGTTATACTTAAATCAGATGAAATAGAATTTAAGTCAAAATTGTGAAAGGAGACAAAAATGATCATTATGTTTTGATAAAAGGGTAAATTTAGTTAGAGGTTATAACAATTATAAAGATATATGCACCCAACATGAGAGCATCTAAATACATAAGGCAAATATTAATAGATCAGAAGAGAGAGACAGATCGCAAAGTAATTATAGTAGGCAACTCGAACACCTATTGTTTCAGCAATGGATAAATTATTTAGAAAATCAACAAAGAAACATCAGACTTAAACTATATTTTAGGCCTAGTGAACATCATGGTCACATACAAAACATTTCATCCAACAGCTGCAGAATACACATTGCTCTCCACTGCATGTGGAACTTCCTCCAAAATAGATTATATGTTCAGCCACAAAATAAGTTTATAAAATTTTATGAAGATTGAAATCATATCAAGTATCTTTTCTAAATATAATAGTATAAAACTAGAAATAAATAACAGGGGGATTTTGGAAAAGTCACAAATACATGGAAATTATAAAATTTATTGAGACAAATAAAAATTGAAATATACCACAACAAAGCCCATAGGATATAGCAAAAGCAATTCTCAGAGGGAAGTTTATAGTAATAAACAGCTATATCAAAAAGAAGGCTCTCAACCAATCTAACATTATATTTTAAGGAGCTAGAAAAATAAGACAAAACTAAGCCCAAATTTAGTAGAAGGAAAGAAATAATAAAGATTAGAGCAGAAATAAATGAAATAGAGACTAGGAAAATAATGGAAAATATCAAAATGAAGAGTTGGTTTTTAAATTTTTATTTATTTTTTATTTTTCTGAGACTGGGTCTCACTCCCATCACCCAGACTGGAGTGGCATGATCATGATCACAGCTCATTGCAGCCTTGACTTCAGGTGATTCTCCCATCTCAGCCTCATGAGTAGCTGGGACTACAGGCACATGCCACCACGCTTGTCTAATTTTTCTGTATTTTTAGCAGAGATGAAGTTTTGCCATGTTGGCCAGGCTGGTCTCAAACTCCTGGGCTCAAGTGATCCACCTGCCTTGGGCTCCCAGAGTGCTGGGACTACAGGTGTGAGCCACTGCACCTGGCCAAGAGTGCTTTTTAAAAGATAAAATGGAAAAATCATTAGCTAGGTTGAGAAAAAAGAAGAGAAGATTCAAATAAAATCACAGATGAATAAAGATACATTACAACTGATACCACAGAAATAAAAAGGATCATTAGAGAATATTATGAATAATAATGCCAGCAAATTAGAAAACCTAGGAGAAGTGGATAAATTTCTGTACAACCTACTAATATTGAATTACAAAGAAATAGAAAAACTAGACAGAACAATAATGAGTAAGGAGATTGAATCAGTAATAGAAAGTCTCCCATCAAACGAAAGCCCAGGACCTGATGGCCTCAATGCTGAATTCTACCAAAAATTTAAAAAAGATCTAATACCAAATTCTTTTCAAACTCTTTAGAGAAATTAAAGGGAGAGACTACTTCTAAACTCATATTACAAGGCCAGCATTATCCCGATACCAACACTAGACAAAGATTCAGCAACAACTACAAAACTACAGGCCAATATCCCTGATAAACAGAGATACAAAAATCCTCATCAAAATACTAGCAAACTGAATTCAACTGCACATTGAAAAGATTATTCACCATGGTTAAGTTAGAATCATCCCAGGAATGTAAGGATGGTTCAACATACACAAATCAATAAATGTGATAAGTCGCATTAACAAAATAAAGGATGAAAACCATATATATGATCACTTTGATAGATGCAGAAAAAAACATCCGACACAATTCAACATCCCTTCATAAAAATACTTAAAACAAATTAGACATAGAAGGAATGTATCACAGAATAATGCAGAACATATATGACAAACCCACTGCTAACATCATACTGAATGGGAAAAAGTTTACAGCTTTTCTGGAACAAGACAAGGATGCCCATTCTCCACTTCTATTCAACATCATACTGAAAGTCCTGACCAGCAGAGTTAGGCAAGAGAAAGAAATAAAAGAAATCCAGATTGGAAAGGAAGAAGTTAAATTGTTCCTATTTGCAGATGACATGACCTTACATATTGAAAACCCTAAAGACTCCACCAAAAAACTGTTAGAACTAATAAATTCAGTAAAGGTGCAGGATTAGCATTTCAATATACTAACAGCGATCGATCTGAAAAAGAAATAAAGAAAACAATCCATTTACAATAGCTAAAAAGAAAATATAATACTTAGAAATAAATGTATCCAAGGAAGTGAACTATCTCTCCACACTGAAAACAATAAAACACTGATGAAAGAAATTGAAGAACACACTTATACATGGAAAGATATACCGTGTTCATAAACTGGAATAATTAATGCTGTTAAAATGTCCATAGTACTCAAATCAATTTACAGATTCAATGCAGTTCCTATCAAAATGGCATTCTTTGAAAAAATAGAAAAAACAATCCTAAAATTTGTACAGATCCACACAAGACCCTGAAGGGTCAAAGTAGTCTTGAGGAAAAGTAACAAATCTGGAGCCATCACACTACCCGATTTCAAAATACACTCCAAAGCTACTGTAACCAAAACAGCATAACACGCTGGCATAAAAATGGACACATGGACCAATGGAACAGCAAAGAGATCCCAGAAATGAATCCAGGCACCTATGGCCAACTGATTTATGACAAAGTTGCCAAGAAAATACAATGGGGAAAGGACAATCTCTTCAATAAATAGTGCTGGGAAAACTAGACATCTATATGCAGAGGAATGAAATTAGACCTTTATCTTTCATCATATAAAAAATAAACTCAGAATAGACAGAAGGCCCAACACTATTAGACTATCAGAAGAAAATACAGGGGAAAAGCTCCATGAAATTGGTCTGGGAAATGAATTTCTGGATATGACCTCAAAATCACAGGCAATAAAAACAAAAATAAACAAATGGGATTATGTTGAACCAAAAGCTTCTGCAAAGGAAACAATCAACAGAGTGAAGAGGCAACCTACAGAATAAGAAAATATATTTGTACACCATATATCTGATAAGGGGTTAATATCCAAAATATATAAGCAACTCAAACAATTCAACAGCAAGAAAACAAATGACGTGATTAAAAAGTAGGAAAAAGACCTCAATAGACATTTCTCAAAAGAAGACATATAAATGGCCAACAGGTATATGAAAAAATGCTCAACGTTACTAATCATTAGGGAAATGAAAATCGAAACCACCATGAGATATCATCTCACCCCTGTTAGAATGGCTATTATCTAAAGATAACAAGCATTGGCAAATATGTGGAGAAAAGAGAACCCTTGCACACCTTTTTGGAGAATGTAAATGAGTATAGTCATTATGGAGAACAGCATGAGGTCCCTGAAAAAATTAAAAGTATGATCCAATAATACTCCTACTGGGTGAACATCCAAAGGAAATGAAATTAGTATGTTAAAGAGACATCTACACTTCCAAGTTTATTGCCGCACTATTCACAATAGCCAAGATATGGAAGCAACTCAAGTGTCCACCAGCAGATAAATGGATTTAAAAAATGTGGCGTATATACATAATATAATACTGTTTAGCCAAAAAAGGGGAAAATTCTGCCATTTGCAATGACATGGATGAGTCTGGAGGACATTGTGTTAAGTGAAATAAGCTAGGTACAGAAAGACAAATACCGCAAGATCTCACTCATGTGTAATCTAAAAAAGCTGACCTCACAGAATAGAGAATAGAATGGTGGTTTCCAGAGGCTGAAGTAATTGGGGGTTGGGGAGATGTTGGTCAAAGAATACATATTTACAGTTAGATAGCAGGAGTAAGTTCCAGTGATCTATTGTATAGCAGGATGACTGTAGTTAATGTACTGTATTCTTTTTTTTTTTCTTTTCTTTTTTTTTTATTTTTTTATTATACTCTAAGTTTTAGGGTACATGTGCACATTGTGCAGGTTACATATGTATACATGTGCCATGCTGGTGCGCTGCACCCACTAACGTGTCATCTAGCATTAGGTATATCTCCCAATGCTATCCCTCCCCCCTCCCCCGACCCCACCACAGTCCCCAGAGTGTGATATTCCCCTTCCTGTGTCCAAGTGTTCTCATTGTTCAATTCCCACCTATGAGTGAGAATATGCGGTGTTTGGTTTTTTGTTCTTGCGATAGTTTACTGAGAATGATGGTTTCCAATTTCATCCATGTCCCTACAAAGGACATGAACTCATCATTTTTTATGGCTGCATAGTATTCCATGGTGTATATGTGCCACATTTTCTTAATTCAGTCTATCATTGTTGGACATTTGGGTTGGTTCCAAGTCTTTGCTATTGTGAATAGTGCCGCAATAAACATACGTGTGCATGTTTCTTTATAGCAGCATGATTTATAGTCCTTTGGGTATATACCCAGTAATGGGATAGCTGGGTCAAATGGTATTTCTAGTTCTAGATCCCTGAGGAATCGCCACACTGACTTCCACAATGGTTGAACTAGTTTACAGTCCCACCAACAGTGGAAAAGTGTTCCTATTTCTCCACATCCTCTCCAGCACCTGTTGTTTCCTGACTTTTTAATGATTGCCATTCTAACTGGTGTGAGATGATATCTCATAGTGGTTTTGATTTGCATTTCTCTGATGGCCAGTGATGATGAGCATTTCTTCATGTGTTTTTTGGCTGCATAAATGTCTTCTTTTGAGAAGTGTCTGTTCATGTCCTTTGCCCACTTTTTGATGGGGTTGTTTGTTTTTTTCTTGTAAATTTGTTTGAGTTCATTGTAGATTCTGGATATTAGCCCTTTGTCAGATGAGTAGGTTGCGAAAATTTTTTCCCATGTTGTAGGTTGCCTGTTCACTCTGATGGTAGTTTCTTTTGCTGTGCAGAAGCTCTTTAGTTTAATTAGATCCCATTTGTCAATTTTGGCTTTTGTTGCAATTGCTTTTGGTGTTTTGGACATGAAGTCCTTGCCCACGCCTATGTCCTGAATGGTAATGCCTAGGTTTTCTTCTAGGGTTTTTATGGTTTTAGGTCTAACGTTTAAATCTTTAATCCATCTTGAATTGATTTTTGTATAAGGTGTAAGGAAGGGATCCAGTTTCAGCTTTCTACATATGGCTAGCCAGTTTTCCCAGCACCATTTATTAAATAGGGAATCCTTTCCCCATTGCTTGTTTTTCTCAGGTTTGTCAAAGATCAGATAGTTGTAGATATGTGGCATTATTTCTGAGGGCTCTGTTCTGTTCCATTGATCTATATCTCTGTTTTGGTACCAGTACCATGCTGTTTTGGTTACTGTAGCCTTGTAGTATAGTTTGAAGTCAGGTAGTGTGATGCCTCCAGCTTTGTTCTTTTGGCTTAGGATTGACTTGGCGATGCGGGCTCTTTTTTGGTTCCATATGAACTTTAAAGTAGTTTTTTCCAATTCTGTGAAGAAAGTCATTGGTAGCTTGATGGGGATGGCATTGAATCTGTAAATTACCTTGGGCATTTTCACGATATTGATTCTTCCTACCCATGAGCATGGAATGTTCTTCCATTTGTTTGTGTCCTCTTTTATTTCCTTGAGCAGTGGTTTGTAGTTCTCCTTGAAGAGGTCCTTCACATCCCATGTAAGTTGGATTCCTAGGTATTTTATTCTCTTTGAAGCAATTGTGAATGGGAGTTCACTCATGATTTGGCTCTCTGTTTGTCTGTTGTTGGTGTATAAGAATGCTTGTGATTTTTGTACATTGATTTTGTATCCTGAGACTTTGCTGAAGTTGCTTATCAGCTTAAGGAGATTTTGGGCTGAGACGATGGGGTTTTCTAGATAAACAATCATGTCGTCTGCAAACAGGGACAATTTGACTTCCTCTTTTCCTAATTGAATACCCTTTATTTCCTTCTCCTGCCTGATTGCCCTGGCCAGAACTTCCAACACTATGTTGAATAGTAGTGGTGAGAGAGGGCATCCCTGTCTTGTGCCAGTTTTCAAAGGGAATGCTTCCAGTTTTTGCCCATTCAGTATGATATTGGCTGTGGGTTTGTCATAGATAGCTCTTATTATTTTGAAATACGTCCCATCAATACCTAATTTATTGAGAGTTTTTAGCATGAAGGGTTGTTGAATTTTGTCAAAGGCTTTTTCTGCATCTATTGAGATAATCATGTGGTTTTTGTCTTTGGCTCTGTTTATATGCTGGATTACATTTATTGATTTGCGTATATTGAACCAGCCTTGCATCCCAGGGATGAAGCCCACTTGATCATGGTGGATAAGCTTTTTGATGTGCTGCTGGATTCGGTTTGCCAGTATTTTATTGAGGATTTTTGCATCAATGTTCATCAAGGATATTGGTCTAAAATTCTCTTTTTTGGTTGTGTCTCTGCCCGGCTTTGGTATCAGAATGATGCTGGCCTCATAAAATGAGTTAGGGAGGATTCCCTCTTTTTCTATTGATTGGAATAGTTTCAGGAGGAATGGTACCAGTTCCTCCTTGTACCTCTGGTAGAATTCGGCTGTGAATCCATCTGGTCCTGGACTCTTTTTGGTTGGTAAACTATTGATTATTGCCACAATTTCAGAGCCTGTTATTGGTCTATTCAGAGATTCAACTTCTTCCTGGTTTAGTCTTGGGAGAGTGTATGTGTCGAGGAATGTATCCATTTCTTCTAGATTTTCTAGTTTATTTGCGTAGAGGTGTTTGTAGTATTCTCTGATGGTAGTTTGTATTTCTGTGGGATCAGTGGTGATATCCCCTTTATCATTTTTTATTGTGTCTATTTGATTCTTCTCTCTTTTTTTCTTTATTAGTCTTGCTAGCGGTCCATCAATTTTGTTGATCCTTTCAAAAAACCAGCTCCTGGATTCATTGATTTTTTGAAGGGTTTTTTGTGTCTCTATTTCCTTCAGTTCTGCTCTGATTTTAGTTATTTCTTGCCTTCTGCTAGCTTTTGAATGTGTTTGCTCTTGCTTTTCTAGTTCTTTTAATTGTGATGTTAGGGTGTCAATTTTGGATCTTTCCTGCTTTCTCTTGTGGGCATTTAGTGCTATAAATTTCCCTCTACACACTGCTTTGAATGAGTCCCAGAGATTCTGGTATGTGGTGTCTTTGTTCTCGTTGGTTTCAAAGAACATCTTTATTTCTGCCTTCATTTCGTTATGTACCCAGTAGTCATTCAGGAGCAGGTTGTTCAGTTTCCATGTAGTTGAGTGGCTTTGAGTGAGATTCTTAATCCTGAGTTCTAGTTTGATTGCACTGTGGTCTGAGAGATAGTTTGTTATAATTTCTGTTCTTTTACATTTGCTGAGGAGAGCTTTACTTCCAACTATGTGGTCAATTTTGGAATAAGTGTGGTGTGGTGCTGAAAAAAATGTATATTCTGTTGATTTGGGGTGGAGAGTTCTGTAGATGTCTATTAGGTCTGCTTGGTGCAGAGCTGAGTTCAATTCCTGGGTATCCTTGTTGACTTTCTGTCTCGTTGATCTGTCTAATGTTGACAGTGGGGTGTTAAAGTCTCCCATTATTAATGTGTGGGAGTCTAAGTCTCTTTGTAGGTCACTCAGGACTTGCTTTATGAATCTGGGTGCTCCTGTATTGGGTGCATAAATATTTAGGATAGTTAGCTCCTCTTGTTGTATTGATCCCTTTACCATTATGTAATGGCCTTCTTTGTCTCTTTTGATCTTTGTTGGTTTAAAGTCTGTTTTATCAGAGACTAGGATTGCAACCCCTGCCTTTTTTTGTTTTCCATTGGCTTGGTAGATCTTCCTCCATCCTTTTATTTTGAGTCTATGTGTGTCTCTGCACGTGAGATGGGTTTCCTGAATACAGCACACTGATGGGTCTTGACTCTTTATCCAACTTGCCAGTCTGTGTCTTTTAATTGCAGAATTTAGTCCATTTATATTTAAAGTTAATATTGTTATGTGTGAATTTGATCCTGTCATTATGATGTTAGCTGGTGATTTTGCTCATTAGTTGATGCAGTTTATTCCTAGTCTCGATGGTCTTTACATTTTGGCATGATTTTGCAGCGGCTGGTACCGGTTGTTCCTTTCCATGTTTAGCGCTTCCTTCAGGAGCTC
This sequence comes from Homo sapiens, assembly GCF_000001405.40. Lineage (NCBI taxonomy): Eukaryota > Metazoa > Chordata > Mammalia > Primates > Hominidae > Homo > Homo sapiens. The sequence goes on along the minus strand of NW_003315938.1, from coordinate 39,151 downwards.
TTTTAGGGCAGGCCTGGTGGTGACAAAATCTCTCAGCATTTGCTTGTCTATAAAGTATTTTATTTCTCCTTCACTTATGAAGCTTAGTTTGGCTGGATATGAAATTCTGGGTTGAAAATTCTTTTCTTTAAGAATGTTGAATATTGGCCCCCACTCTCTTCTGGCTTGTAGGGTTTCTGCCGAGAGATCCGCTGTTAGTCTGATGGGCTTTCCTTTGAGGGCAACCCGACCTTTCTCTCTGGCTGCCCTTAACATTTTTTCCTTCATTTCAACTTTGGTGAATCTGACAATTATGTGTCTTGGAGTTGCTCTTCTCGAGGAGTATCTTTGTGGCGTTCTCTGTATTTCCTGAATCTGAACGTTGGCCTGCCTTGCTAGATTGGGGAAGTTCTCCTGGATAATATCCTGCAGAGTGTTTTCCAACTTGGTTCCATTCTCCACATCACTTTCAGGTACACCAATCAGACGTAGATTTGGTCTTTTCACATAGTCCCATATTTCTTGGAGGCTTTGCTCATTTCTTTTTATTCTTTTTTCTCTAAACTTCCCTTCTCGCTTCATTTCATTCATTTCATCTTCCATTGCTGATACCCTTTCTTCCAGTTGATCGCATTGGCTCCTGAGGCTTCTGCATTCTTCACGTAGTTCTCGAGCCTTGGTTTTCAGCTCCATCAGCTCCTTTAAGCACTTCTCTGTATTGGTTATTCTAGTTATACATTCTTCTAAATTTTTTTCAAAGTTTTCAACTTCTTTGCCTTTGGTTTGAATGTCCTCCCGTAGCTCAGAGTAATTTGATCGTCTGAAGCCTTCTTCTCTCAGCTCGTCAAAATCATTCTCCATCCAGCTTTGTTCTGTTGCTGGTGAGGAACTGCGTTCCTTTGGAGGAGGAGAGATGCTCTGCGTTTTAGAGTTTCCAGTTTTTCTGTTCTGTTTTTTCCCCATCTTTGTGGTTTTATCTACTATTGGTCTTTGATGATGGTGATGTACAGATGGGTTTTCGGTGTAGATGTCCTTTCTGGTTGTTAGTTTTCCTTCTAACAGACAGGACCCTCAGCTGCAGGTCTGTTGGAATACCCTGCCGTGTGAGGTGTCAGTGTGCCCCTGCTGGGGGGGTGCCTCCCAGTTAGGCTGCTCGGGGGTCAGGGGTCAGGGACCCACTTGAGGAGGCAGTCTGCCCATTCTCAGATCTCCAGCTGCGTGCTGGGAGAACCACTGCTCTCTTCAAAGCTGTCAGACAGGGACACTTAAGTCTGCAGAGGTTACTGCTGTCTTTTTGTTTGTCTGTGTCCTGCCCCCAGAGGTGGAGCCTACAGAGGCAGGCAGGCCTCCTTGAGCTGTGGTGGGCTCCACCCAGTTCGAGCTTCCTGGCTGCTTTGTTTACCTAAGCAAGCCTGGGCAATGGCGGGCGCCCCTCCCCCAGCCTCGTTGCCGCCTTGCAGTTTGATCTCAGACTGCTGTGCTAGCAATCAGTGAGATTCCGTGGGCGTAGGACCCTCTGAGCCAGGTGTGGGATATAGTCTCGTGGTGTGCCGTTTCTTAAGCCGGTCTGAAAAGCGCAATATTCGGATGGGAGTGACCCGATTTTCCAGGTGCGTCCGTCACCCCTTTCTTTGACTCGGAAAGGGAACTCCCTGACCCCTTGCGCTTCCCAGGTGAGGCAATGCCTCGCCCTGCTTTGGCTCGCGCACTGTGCGCGCACCCACTGGCCTGCGCCCACTGTCTGGCACTCCCTAGTGAGATGAACCCGGTACCTCAGATGGAAATGCAGAAATCACCCGTCTTCTGCGTCGCTCACGCTGGGAGCTGTAGACCGGAGCTGTTCCTATTCAGCCATCTTGGCTCCTCCTCCCTACATGTACTGTATTCTTAAAAAAATTCTGAGAATGACTTTTAAGTGTTCTCACCACAAAAAAACTAGGTGTGCTAACACATTTGTTAGTTAGCTCGATTGAACCATTCCACAATATTTTATACTTCAGGCATCATATTGTACATGATAAAGACATACATTTTAATATGTCTATTTTTAAAAACAATTTTAAAATTAAATTATTAGGATAATTATCTTTATTTTTAATCTCAATTTAGTAAGTAGATATTTCTTTATGCTTTGACCCTCCTCTGGATGGCATTCTATGGATCAGACTTTTCTTGAGACAATAGAATACTAAATAACAGTGATCATAATAAAACAAACCTTTACACTACTTTGTGTACAGAGGCTCAGTAAACTTAATAATTTACAGAGGCAGTATATCATGCTGTTTAGGAGAGAGAAGGACCTGAATCCAATTTAGAACTTTATGCTAACTAGCTGTGTGAGTTGTTCAACCTATTTTTTAGTTTTCTCATGGAGACAAAAATACCACCTATTTTATAGGGTTGTTGTGAAAATTGAATAGCCTGCAATAAGTGGTAGGCATTTTTATTATTAATTATTCACATATATGGCAATAAGCTGATACTGATTCTTAGAATATAAAGCTAAAAGTAGATGTCAGCAAAGTTATAAAATCCAAGGACAATGTGAGTTGGAAAAGATTATATATAGAAGGGACAAAACTGCCTCATATTTTCCTTAAATGGTCTCATATTTCTCCTTTTTTTCCACTCCCACAGTTAGCTAAATACCTGCCACCTTATACCTCAATCAGATGATTTATAGCTATAATAATTATTTCTAAATTTTATTCATTTGTCTTATCTTATCACCCTAAAATATATTTTTGTTGTATCATTCTCTCTACTGAAAATCCATACATCATTTCCTATCTGACTTTCTGTTGGAGAGCATATTTCTTGGGATAGTAGTAAAAGCTCTCGGGATCAGACTGCAATCTCCAATTATAGTTGTGCTTCTCATGATCTTCCATATAAACACCCTACTTCATTTGGCTTGCAGCTTTAATATGCCAACTGCATTCTTCTCTCAGCCCTACAACAAACATCTAATACCTTATATTGTTCTCTTGCTTGACATTTTTTCCCTTTCCTCTTCCTCTAACAAAATTCTATCCATCTTCTAATACTCATATCTTTTGCATTATTTCCTGATGAACTACATGCTAAAATAATAAAGTGAGTGTGAGCAGGGACTGCGAATATGATAGTCACCTCCTTAGTTAGATTCTATTGTGTGCAAATATTCCTGTGATAATATTATATTAGTTAAGACTCCTTAACAGACTGGCATGAGAGATTTGAAGCAAGAGAAGTGCTTTCCCTACTGGCCTTGAAAAAGTAAATTACCATGTTATAGAGAGGACTATGTGGCAGGAAACCGAGGGTGGCCTCTAGAATGTGAGATCGGCCTCTAGAATGTGAGATCAGCCTCTGGCTGACAGTCAGTAAGAAAGTCCTACAACCACAAGGAATAGAATTCTGCTAACAATCATTGAACTCACAAAAAGACCTTGAGCCTCAGATGATAACAGAGTCCCAGCTGACATCTTGATTTCAGGCTTATAAGACTCTGTGCAGACAACTCAGCTAAAACATACCAAATTCCTGACCCATAGAAGGTGTGAGATAGTAAACTGTGTTGGTTTAAGCCAAAAATTAGTGGTAATTTGGTACACAGCAATAGAAAGCTAATACAGTTGGTAATGAAGCCATCTGGTCTGGGCTTTTCTTTGTTGTGAAGATTTTGATTACTGACTCAATCTTATTATTTGCTATTGGTCTGGTTAAGTTTTCTGTTCCTTCATGATTCAATTTTGGTAGGTTGTATGCAACAAAGAAAACTCTAGGACCAGATGGCTTAGCTGGTGAATTCTACCAAACATTTAAAGAAGAATTAGCACAAGTGCTTCTTAAACTCTTCCCAAAACTGAAGGGAACATCTCAATACTCATTTTATGCAGCAAGCATGATGCTGATACCAAAGTGAGACCAAGACACTATAAGAAAAGAAACTACAGGCCCATATCTCTAAGGCACATGGATGCAAAAATCCTTAACAAAATGCTAGCAACCTGAATTCAACAGCACATTAAAAGGATCAGCAGGACTATGTGGGATTTATCCCTGGGATGCACGGATGGCTTAATATATGCAAATCAATTAATGTAATAAACCATACTAACAGACTGAAGAATAAAAGTCACATTCATATCTTACTAGATGCAGAAAAAACATTTGACAAAATTCAACAGCCTTTCGTGATAAAAACTCTCAACAAATTAGGTATAGAAGGGATTTGCCTCAATACAACAATGGTCATGTATGAAAATCCCCCAATACAACAAAGGCCGTATATGAAAATCCCCCAGCTAACATCACACTCAGTGATGAAAAACTGAAAGATTTCCCTCCAAGATCAGGCACAAGGCTAGGATGCTCATTCTTACTGTTTCCATTCAACATTGTACTGAACTTTAGCCAGAGCAATTAGGCAAGAAAAAGAAATTAAAGTATCCAAATAGGAAGGGAGGAATTAAAATTATGTTGCTGATGACATGATCTTATATGTTGAAAACCCTAAGAACACCACAAAAAAACTGTTAGAACTAATAAACAAATATCGTAAGATTACAAGATACACAATACACATACAAAAATCCATTGTGTTCTATACACTAACAATGAACTATCCAAAAGGGAAATTGAGAAAACAATGCTATTTTCAAGAGTATCAAAAAGAATACAATATTTGGCAATAAACTTAACCAAGGAGGGCCAGGCCCGGTGGCTCATGCCTGTAATCCCAGCACTTTGGGAGGCCGAGGTGGGCGGATCATGAGGTCAGGAGTATGAGACCATCCTGGCTAATATGGTGAAACCCTGTCTCTACTAAAAATATGAAAATGAAAAATTAGCCAGGCATGGTGGCAGGCACCTGTAGTCCCAACTACTGGGGAGGCTGAGGCAGGAGAATGGTGTGAACCTGGGAGGTGGAGTTTGCAGTGAGCCAAGATTGCAGCACGGCACTCCAGCCTGGGGGACAGAGTGAGACTCCATCTCAAAAAAAAAAAAAAAAAAAAAGAAAACTTAACCAAGAAGGTGAAATACTTGAAAACTACAAATCATTGATGAAAGAAATGTAAATAGACACAAATAAATGGAAAGATATTTCATGTTCATGAATTGGAAGACTTAATATTGTTAAAATGTTCATAAACTAAAGTGATCTACAGAATCAGTGCAATTCCTTTCAAAATTCCAATGGCATTTTTTTTTTTTTACAGAAAAAATACCTAAAATTTACATGAAACAACAAAAGACACCAAATAGCCAAAGCAATCTTGAGAAAAAAGAAGAAAGCTGAAAGCATTAGACTTCCTGATTTCAAAATATATTACAAAGCTATAGTAATTAAAATAGTATGTTACTGACACAATTTTTTAACAAGGGTGCCAAGGGTACACAATGGGGAAACAACAAGTGTCTTCAACAAGCGTTGTTGGGAAAGCTAGATATCTACATGCAAAAGAATGAAACTTGACCCTTAACACACATCAAACACAAATATCAATGGAAAAAATTACATATTTAAATGTAAGAACTGAAATAGAATAACTCCTGGGAGAAAACATAGGACAAAATCTTATGACATTGGGCTCAGCAATATTTCTTGGATATGACACCAAAAATCACAAGCAACAAAAGCAAAAAAAGGTAAGTGGCATTATACCAAACTAAAAACCTTCTGCACTGCAAAAGAATCAATGGTCAAAAGGCAACCTACAGAATGGGAGAAAAATATCTGTAAATTATATATCTGATAAGAGGTTAATATCCAAAACAAATAAGGACCTCCTACAACTCAATGTCAAAAAAGCAAATAACCCAATTTTAATAATGGACAAAGGATTTGATGAGAGGTTTCTCTACAGAAGACATACAAATGTCCAACAGATATATATCAAAACACGCAGCATCACTAATCATCAGGGAAATGCAACTCAAAACTATAATAAGATATCACGTCACACCTGTTAGGGTGGCTATTACAAAACAAAAATCAAAAGATAACAAGTATTGGAGAAGATGTTGAGAAATTGGAACTCTTGTACACTGTTGGTAGGAATGTAAAATGGGGTACAGCTGCTATGGAAAATAGGACAGAGATTCCTCAAACAATTAAATTAGAACTACTATGTAATCTAGGAATCATACTTCTGGGTATATATCTAAAAGAATTGAAATGAGAACTTTGAAGAGATATCTGTACCTTCTGATTCACTGCAACAGTATTCATAATAGCCAAGATATGGAAATAACCTAAATGTCCATCAACACACGAATGAATAAAGAAAATGTGGTATACACATACAAAGGAATATTAGTCAGCCTTTAAAAAGAAGGAATCATGTCATATGTGACAGCATGGATAAAGCTGGAGGACATAAGCTCTGTGAAATAAGCCAGTCACAGGAGGACAAGTACTGCCTGATTTCACTTATACAGGGTATCTAAAATAGTTAAACTCATGGAAACAGAGAGTAGAATGGTGTTTGCCAGGGACTGGGAGGGAAAGAAAAATAGGGAGTAGTTGTTCAGCAAGTATATAGTTTCAGTTTTTCAAAGTAAGTTTTAGAGATCTGCTGTACAGCTTGGTGCCTATAGTTTACAATACTGTAGTGTGCGTTTAAAATTTTGTCCAGAGGACAGATCTCATGTTAAATGTTCTCACCACAAACAAACAAACCGAAAACACTAACCTAGTGGGTTATGGAAGGCTCTCCAGGCCATGGTTGTAAGATCTGAAGTTTAGTTCCTGGAAGTACAAAGAGCTAGCCCTTTGACTCTTCTGTATATTTTTCTGTGTGTAACTTGGGGATGATTCCTGTTAAGGAACCATGTGGAGGAGCAGATCAACTAAGAGTATTATGAAATAAAAACTTTATTCTAGGGATCAGACTCCACACAATTGTGAGAGCAGCTAGGAAAGTTCTGGTCCAGAAGGGAGAATTGGAAAATCACTTAAGTCACTAAACATTCCTCCTAAAGCAATGGCAGCAGTGGACCTCTTTTAGTGATAACAAGGACCAGAGAGAACAACTTGTTCTTCATCTTGTATCAATAAAAATTTCCCTGAGACAATAGGTTTAGATTTATAAAAAGCAACATAATTGAAGTATGATTAAATACAATAAAATACACCCATTTTAGTCTACAGTTTGGTGACTTTTGCCAAATATATACACTTGAGTAACTACCACCACAGTCAAGATATAAAACATTTCTATCACCCTAAAAAGTTCTCTTCTTTTCCTTTGCACTTGATAATTCCCCACTCTTGGGCTGAGACAACTGTAGTCTTTCAGTCACTACAAACTATATTTCCCACATTTTAGAATTTCACATTTGTGGAATCATACACTATGCTGTTTTGTAAGTGACTTCTTACACCCATCATGTTTTCAGAATCTTCCTTGTTGCTTTTATCCGTAGTTCACCACTTTTCATTGCTTAGTATTATTATACTGTATGGACCACAAATGTAATATAATTAGTTTGTTAATTTATTAATTTAGTTTATTAATTCAGCATTTGAAATTATTCTAGCAAGGTAACTTTTAAAAATTCCTTGTGATTTCTACATATACCATCATTCAAATACTTTTTACCACTTCCTTTCTAATATTTAAGGCTTTAATTCATTTTTCTTGCCTTTTTGCACTGACTAGAACCTCCAGTACATTTCTGAATAAAAATGGTGTCCAGTTTTACAACTGCTTGTGGTAGAAGGGTAAATCTGGTGTGTATTACTTTGTCATAGGCCCTTGAATTTTTGTAGGATTTATGCCCCATCTTCTAGTATGTATATATCTTACCAAGGTTTCTTGAGTAATTACTGTATTTTACTCAACACATTCAATCAGCATGATATCCTCAGTGTATTTGCACAGCGTTTGTTCTGTGGAATGGAGATACGACCAACGTCCTTTGGATTAAGATTGGATATTGAGAGTTAATATAACCTTGAACAGTGGTAAAATAGTGAATGTCTATTGGTGCTCCTTCAAGTTGAAAGCACAAAGCTTTTGGTGGTTTTTACTAACAGGCTAAATAACAACCACAAAACATTTACTAGATTAATAACCATGCAAGGTACCAGCAGAGATGTGTTGATTTGTTCCAGTAAAAAAACCACATCTGTCATCTGTAAGAGCAACTGTGATTTGACTCACCATCTTATTGAATTTATGATCATACACTGTCACTTTCCAGAATCTGTCTGTCTTATGCTCAGAATTAAAAGGTTATTTGAACAGGGCTGTGTTAGGTATCACCACTTCTCCATCATTTAATTCCTTGATTATGTCATTAATCTCTATAGTCCTTTCAGGACTGTTGTATTACTTTGGGTTTAATATTTTGGTAGGTGGAGGAGATTTGGGGGATTTCCACTTGTTCTTTCTTATCACAATAGTTCTTATTCCATAGGTCAAAAAACCAATATAGGGAGTCTGCCAGTTGTTGAGTATGTATATTTCAATGATACCTTCTGGAATTTGAAAATAAACATGAGATAGTATTGGAGCTCCATTGGTCTATAGTGAGACAGCTCTGGTCCAAAATTACATTGATCACCCAAACTCCATTACTGCCTACTCTGACTGTTGAGCTACAGTGACTTTGAGTCTCAGGAATTAGTGTGAGTTCACAATCAGTGTCCAATAATTTCCACTAAATCTGGTTACTTTCATTTCTTCAATGCACAGTCATGATGATAAATGCCTATAGTCCTTTTGAGAAAGAATAATTACGATATAAATTATTGGCAGTATATCAGGCTGAATGCTGGCTTCTACTAGAGGCATGGAACATCTCCAGGCTATCTTTATCTCTGATGTGTTTATACCTATAGTGATATTTCTATGTACCTCATGGATATGGTTTGAATAACTGTCCCCTCCAAATCTCATGTTGAAATTTCATCCCCATTGTTGGAGGTGGGGCCTAGTAGGAGGTGTTTGGGCAATGGGGGCTGGTCCTTCATGAACAAGTTGGTGCTGCCCTCATAGTAATGAATGAATTCTCACCTTATTAGTTACCAAAATATTTGATTGTTAAAAGGAGCCTTGCACCTCCTCCTGTCTCTCTTGCTTTCTTCCACTTGCCATGTGATACTGGCTCCCCTAAGCCTTCCCCAAAGCCCCCACTGGAAGCAGATGCTGGCATCATGCTTCTTGTACAACCTGCAGAACCATGAACCAAATAAACCCCTTTTCCTTACAAATTATCCTGTCTTAGGTATTCCTTTATATCAACGCAAAACAGATGAATACACCCACCCTAACCAAGCTTCTTTTTCAAGGTGAGAGGGAGTGGTGAAATGCAATTATATGAGTTTGAACTCTTCAATTTTCATCATCATTTCTTCTCATAATCCTGCAAGCTGGATGATACTGGATTTCTACTTTGTTTTCCTCTATAAAATGGACTTTTCTTACATCATATCCATCTATAGGTGGCTTAAGGGAAGAACAACTTTTTCTCCTAGGCTCGGCAACTAGGGTCCTTCAAATTAAACCGACAAATGACAGATTAACAGAAGAGTTGATTATGTCTATACAGAGGCCTTCATGGAAAAGAGGTAAAGACTCAAAGAAGGGGTTAGACCAATGAGTTTATATGTCATTTTAACAAATCAATACATTCTGGAGAAGAAACCAGACAAAGGAAGGGAGAGGGTTTGGCTTCTAGGGCCAGTAAATTGTGGAAAGGTAAATACATGGGGAGAAAGAGTGGAAGATAAGGGTTGTTCAGTAGGGTTTGTTATGCATACTCTACGTACTCAAACTGGTGCCTTCTCCACTGATGTGAGTCCTCTTCCTCTTCCTGGTATGGGAGAGGGAGACACTTTTATAAATGAAAATTTGTCCCCTGCTTTTATACTGAAAGGGGAGGGTTGAAAGCTTTTCCTGCATCAGTTTTTCTCAACTAACTCCAGCTCAGAATAATCCTTATACCAAAGTGGCGTATTTCAAAGAAGCACCCTTTAATCCCCTTCAGTAGCATCTATCATTCTCCTCTTCCTAATACATAAAGATTGATGGGAAACTATGCTGATAAGCTTACTTAATAGGAAAGAAACAAAAATATTATTCTATTACAGCTTTATTAAGGCATTTATTATGCTTTATTTTGATTTTACAAGTTCACAATTCACAAGTTCTTAAGAGCAAGGACTTGTTATTTCATCCTAGTATCTACACCTATTGTAATTTTGTCACACAATAGACACGAATTAAATTTTGTTGATTGCAGACCATGAATGCATGAGTGCAATTGTAAACTAGTGTTACTGTCAGTAAAAAGCCTGAGTTCTAATTGTAAAATTATGCTGATTCTCCTGGGTTGGTAGTGACTTTGAGCCATTGAGTTTTAACGTTTTTTTCTAAGGAACTAACCATTTCAGGAATCCTTCAATATGGGCTAAGAAAAAAAGTCTTGATACACTGAAACTAATTATGTGAAGAAAGAGTTGCCAGAGTTATTAAAACAGAAGTAGCCTGACATCCCCAGCTTTTGAGAAACAGAACTTGGAGTTAACACTAATAGTTTTAATGATTCCATGTTTGAAGTCTGAAGTTCTGTGAATGATTCACCTTAAGCATATTTAAATTTATTAACCCCTTTGCTTCTGGCAATTTATTTTTGGAAACGTCTTCCTTATGATTCAGTTGAGGAGTCTGGGAAGCAAGTATACAGCCAGGGCAGAGTTGCAGAATCCCAAGGGAAATGAATGTAAGAAAGAACTGAGTTCCTCTCCTGTGCCTGTTTCCCACTCATCCTACACATCTTCTTCTGTGGGTGGATCAATTCCTACTGAAAAAAGGATCTACAAAGTTGCTCTTTTCAGGAAAAAGAAAAGGAAGTAGGAGGAGTATGGTAAGGAATATGGTAGGGCCAGGCATAGCTTGCCTTTGCACAACTGCAAAATGTCTACCAATTGGAATATAGCATGTCCTTTCTTCATTTTAACTTAATCAGAGACAGAGGGATGAGGCACTAGCAGGAACAAGCTCCAAGTTTCCCTCTTTTTATCCTACTTCAGTTTTTCCTTTGTTGTACCTTACCTCAGATTTTTTTTAACACTTCCTCTGCTTCAGAGTGTTCAGTTCTTAAGCTTCTATGATAGCAGAAAACAAGTGTGTCTTATTCACCATTTATTCCCACAGCCTTGTTAACATAAATAAAATATTAATGTACTTATTCAGTTCAAACTTTTACATGAAATATACATACGTACATTTTTTTTAAAAAAGGCAAGCAGTACAGAAGAGCATAACATGCAAGATATTTTATCCATCCTTCCTTAACCCCCTCCTGATTTCCATGTGCTCCCAAAACCACCTTAAACAATTCCTGTTTTTAAGACAGGAAACAGTGCCTCATGCTTATAATCCCAACACTTTGGGAGGTTGAGACAGAAGGATCACTTGAGGCCAGGAGTTCGAGGCTGCAGTGAACCATGATCGCACCACCGTGCTCCAGTCTGGGCAACAGAGGGAGAAAAACAAAAAAACAAAACCCCCCAGCAATTTCTGTTTTTAGTCATTCTAGTCATTGTTTTCATTTTCACTGATTTGTCAGTTTTATACAATATCGTTGACTCTGCAATATAAAAGATGAAAAATGTACTTCACTTATAGCATCTCTCAACTCTTTCTTCCAGGTCCCAATTTTTATAGTTATGTCACTGTATTAGTTTGCTCTCACACTGGTATAAGGAACTGCCTGAGACTGGGTAATTTATAAAGGAAAGAGGTTTAATTGGCTCACAGTTCTGCATGGCTGGGGAGTCCTCAGGAAACTTATAGTCATGGTGCAAGGTGAGGAGAAAGCAAGGCATATCTTACCTGGTGGCAGGAGAGAGAAAGGGGGGAACTGACAAACACTTTTAAACCATCAGATCTTGTGAGAACTCACTCACCATCAGGAGAACAGCATGGGGAAAACCACCTCATGATCCAATCACCTCCCACCAGGTGTGGGAATTACAATTCAAGATGAGATTTGGGTGGGGACACAAAGCCAAACCGTATCAGTCACTATTTTTACACAATAAATGATGGTTGAATGAGTAAGTACACATTCCAGTTTTCCCTCTCATTTCTTTACCCGAACAATGGTACCCTGGTTTATAAACTACTGGAAGCCAGCCGTCCCTCTGCCCAAAAATGAAAGAGCTTTCGATGCTGAGCCATTTAGTTTTCTGTTAGTAAATCCCTCCAACACACTCAGTGATCTCTTTATTAATTAAAACATTATCCTTCTCAGAAACATCTGAATTTTAACAGTTCTCAAAGCCATTAACTGAAGGAAGAAGTCCTGATGCTGGAACTTTGAAACATTGAGGCTTGCTCTTTAAATCCTCCAGGATGTCCTGTAGCTTCTTAGTGAGCTGCTGATTTGGGCTGGGCAAGACTAAGACAGTGGAACTTATGCTTAGTGACTAGGGATCATCAGCTGTTTTTATTATGTCTGTCTTCTGAGGCTTTCTCTTTGGCTGTTGTTGGATGTATCAAAACAAAACATCTCCAGGAAAAAATATCAAAGGACCTAAAATTAATGTGTTATTTCAGTTTTCTTCTAAGCCAGCAAAAGAAAGTCCCTCTCTGACTAACGTCTGATAATACAAACCTCCCAGGCCAGCCCCTTTAACGTGCTGATTTAGGGCTCATGCCCGTTTTCCTCTCTCCTCATTTCATCTTCGTCTCTCTGATGCAATCAGCATGCTGGCCTTAGGCTCACCTCGGTTTTGTTTTATTTTTTAAGGGTGAAAGAAAAAAACTTTGGTTTCTCAAGTGGATATAAAATTAAACTCTTCTCCCCTTTTACAGCAGATTCTCTAAATCTTAGACTTTAAAAGTTTTGATTTAAATCCTGCCTTAGAGTGAGTCACAGAAAAAGAAATTCTCATCAGTTATCTACTTCGGTAGCACTGTTTGGTACTCATCTGTGGGGTCCTAGGAAAAGCATTCAACTCAGATTGAAAAATCTTGCTTGAGTCCTTGATGTACTATCTGCTTGCTGTGTGACTACGGGTAAGTCATCACAACTCTCTGAGCCAAGTTATCTCAACTAAAAATTGAAGATAGTAACACAGTACTTAGCTCACAGGGCTGTTGTATTGGTGCATTTAAGTCAATAAACTTAACTCAGCTCAAACTTAACATGTCTAAAATCAAATTTTTGATCTTGTTTTCCAATCCTGCTTCACCTCCAGTCTTTCCTATCTCAGTTGATTGCAACTCCAATCTTTCAGTTCCTCATGTAATGCTTCACATGGTCTTCCTCTCTCACACCAGATCCATCACCTCTCACTAGATTGCTGCAGTGGCCACCTAACTGGTCTCCATATTTTCACCCTTGCCTCTCTAGAGTCTATTCTCAATACTTCAGGCAGATCAAACCCAATCACATTACTCCTCCATGCAGGCTCAGCCTTGGTTTCTTGTTAGAGCTGATATCAAACTGGCTCACACTGAAACTAGGGTGTGAGTAGTGAAATCCCTTTGTCTCCTTTGGTAAATATCTTTTCCCAGTTTCCTTCCATTGAAATTTCCCTAAAATCCATCAGGGGGTGACTCCGCTATTCACTAACTCAAGCAGTAATGCTTGGCACTTCAGGGGGCCTCTAGGATGCTGCTTCTGAGTGTCCGTCTGATTAGCTCTTTTAGCTTCTATAGCTATCTACTCAAGGGTCACCTTTTCAACAAGGCACTTTCTGACTGCCTTATTTACAATGGAAACTCTTCCCTATTCCCCACTGGGAATCATTGCCCTCCATTGCAGTATCTCCATCTGACAGACTGTAGACTTCACCTGTGTGTTCGTCTATTGTCTGTCTCCCTTCTCTGCATCAACTAGAATACAAGTGACCTGAGAAGGAAATTTGTCTGTTCTGTTTACTCTTTTACCCCTAGTGCCTAGAACAGAGGTCCATAGCAAGCCCTCAATAAATATTAGTTGGATGAGTGAACTACTCACTGCCCAGTTTTCCCATTTGAATAATAAAAAAAACTACACCCCAGATAAATTGTGGAAATTAAATCATTGATGTGAAAGCACCTTGTGAGATATAAGTCCCTTAATAAAGATCAGTTGTCATCAGCCTCCCCTCATTGATAAACATTTGTGGACCACAGGCACCATTCTCCAACACTACTGCCAAGATAGTCTCCATGTTTGAAGGGACTCTCTGAATATTCTGTCCTGGTGTCCTGGGTGCTATAGGTCTGAGTGGCCCATGATACTGCTTGTGCCCTGAATCCTGAGTGGATCACAGAGACTTCTTAAGGTAACCAGGACAAGGAGTGTGGGTCAGTAGTCATGAGGAGTGTGTGATGCATTCTTGCTATCCCTTCAGTGCTTCTTCTGTGGGCATGTACATGGGCAGAGCTGGCATCAGCATTCATTTGTGCTGCAGTACTTGCATCAATAAGCCATTTAAATGGGAAGACACCACAAAAGAGGAAGAAGTAGACACCTGCTTTATTCTCCGTGTCTGGGAAGCAAAGTCCAACAGTAATGATAGGTTCAGCATATGGTAATGTCTACATAACTTCACAAGGATGTTTTTAAAATTTAAAGATTTGCTCTAGGAGATCATCTGGAGACATGGCTAAGTAAGGGTCACAGGAAAGGCAAGAAAAAACATGCAGTGAGCTTTGGAGAAAAAAATACAAGCCTACTGAATCCCCATACAACAGTTCCCACTGAACTTGGTGATCAATTCTCACTTCTTAACAAACAAACACAGAGTGAAGTGTACTATATATTTGGAGCCTAGACTGTAGCCCTTGCCGTCAAGTTAAAGCTACTCAAGATCTTTGAACACATGTCATCCATCCCACTGAAGGCGGGCGCCTTCCTCCTCTGGTGCCTCACACCCTGTACCTCACTACCTTGTACACTTGTTTATTTGAGATGGGCATTCTTTAGCCAGTAATAAGATGAATGGTTGATGCTACAAGGATAGGAGTGTTTAGATTTGCACAGTGATACATAGCTTTAAGTTAGTGGAAAATAATTTTGGCAAGCAGATCCGTCTCCATGTCATAAAAATATTTCTCTCTAGTATTTTGTTCTGACAGCTCAAGCAAATATAATATGAGAATACTACCTGTGGCTTGTCTTTTTTTTTCTTTCGGTTTCTAATGCTGAATTTATAATCTTCTGTAACTTCGTGTGACCACACATATTCAAAATTCCTGTATCAATTTGACTCACTGCCACATTTCCTTCTGTGGGGAAGAGGAAACTACAGACCTCAAATGGCTTTTACATTGCCGGCATGACAAGTTCCCTGTACATATGGAATAGCAGATGCCTCCTTTCAAGGCTGCTCTTGACATTGTGGTTGTTAATGATTCTTCCACTTGGGAATATTTCCGTTCTGTACCAAAAACCTATCTAAGGGGCAAAGGAAAGTGGTGAAAACGGGCACAATACAGATGCCAGCAAGTTTCCCAGTTGGTCATGATCAACACATCATTCCAGAAGGAATAACTGCGGGGGGGCGGGGGGATTAGGGAGGGGAATAAAAACAAATTTTGGCAGACCCAAGCTTAGAAGAAAAACAATACTTTCACCGAATTTAGCCTCTGCTCTCTGTCATAGAAAATTATAATAAGTACACGAGAATTGCATTCAATTTTGGTCAAGTATTATTCTTGGAATATGCATTAGTCAGAATTGGCCTCATTAGAAGGGCACTTTTTGAACAGCAGTGTAGTGGTTCACAAGGCATGTAGACTCCTGAGAGGGTGTGATGCGGGTTTAAGAAGCTTATTTCATGTCCAATATCATTTACATTTCAAACTAGGACTCAAACCAGGGCTTATATTGAAACTTCAAATGACAAGAGGTAGAGCAAAATACATTCATCTATAAACATGCAATAATGTTATCAGAATTGCCGCAACCCATTAATTATAAACATAAGCCTAGCTATTGACACTATGGCTCAGGCACTGGGCTTTTTTTCCCTGCTTCTGATAAGTCAGCATTTCCATTGAACCTATGCATGCCTTAAAATTCTCATACCAGTCTACACTGAGGCATGTGTTTTTATTTTGCTTTCTATTTATAATCTTTATTTTGAAAACAACAATTGTGGTTTGGATTTACCATGAGGAGGCTGAATTTTACACATGCAAAGACTCATTTTTTTTGTAGACTTCATTTTTAGCTATATTATCTGATTTGCTATCATCCCAGGAGTATAAAGTATATACAGTATACATTACCAAACACATTTAACGGATGAGGAAAATGAAGGTAGAAGAAAAGTAGCTTGACCAAACGAACAGTAAAGCTTTAGGGGTATTTCACTGAGTTAGAACTGGTCAAAGGACTAGATTGGGAGAGACGTAGAAGAAAATCTTACCTACATTTTACCCAGGGCAGAAAGACTAAGCAATTAAACCTTGATGGGTTCTGTATCTTCATTCTTAATAGCAATTCCAAAATTTGGTAATCCAGAGTAAAGAAGCCAAAAACTCAGAAGATATTAAATCTATTTACCTGTGTTCTAGGGGAGGATTCAAGCCCTCACATCAGAGCAAAGGTATTTCCAGCTGATTTGGGCTTTCCCCTTAAAATGTATCTGTTGTCCTTCTATGATACAGACAAGCACATGTTTATTCTAGGTGCTGTCAAGACTGTTTATGTCTTCAAGACTGGTGCTGACTCCAACTCTAGCACCGAGGTACTTTTTTTTGATGACTACTTACAGGAAAAGATTGACCTAGTGGGACCCACCGAAGCTTTTATCCAGATTTGAGGAGTGTATATTTGAAGGAGCTGCACTCTCTGAGGTAGCAGAGAGAGTATCAGTGAAGCTTGGGCACTTAACTTGTCCTGTCTTCCAAATGAGTGTTTCTCACAGGATTCTAGTTTTCTGCTTCTGACTTAAGCCAGAAAGTACACAGGTGTGTTTAACTCAGTACTAAAGTTAAAATCTATGAACTTTTTCAGACCTCACATGTTCAGGTTTGATTTTATTGTGGCAACTAGGTTTTAGGCAGGTTCTTATTTCTTTTGAACCAGGTTATCTAGCCCCTATTTTTCCATCAAAGAATCTCAGTTAACTTTGATTTTTAATTCTCAGACACCCTACTCACTGAATCACCCACCCCGCCTTCATACCCTGCTATTTTATTCCATATAAGGCCTTGAAATGTACTCACCTTACTCAGTGAAAATCCCTCTGGGGTGAGGAGCTGCCAGAGCATTAGAAATGTGATCTAAAGTAGCTAAGCTTGAGACTGGTCACGTCCAGGTTGGAAGGTATCAGGTATAAAATGAGAAAAAAAATTTTATCTCACAGCACTTATCAGACCATCTTCTTATAAGACTTTTCTTTAGTTTTTAGTTCATTTCTTGGTTTTTCTGGAAAAATGCTGCAGTTATGTTGCTCATGCAGCCAAAAATCTGCACTTAATTGGGCACATAAAAAAATAGCAGACAGGAAGTCTATTTCCTCACAGAGAGATATTGTGGTTTATGGACGCTGCTTTCATACTGCAAAGCCAGTGCATTATTTTATTTTTTAGTACACTCCTGGTAAGATGTCCCTGGCAACCAGAGAGCTATAAGTGCCCACCAGAATCAGTATCAGCACAGGTAGAGTTACTCAATTACAAAATATTAGTTTAATATTGGTTTGATTTTTGAATCAACCTTAAGTTTCTGAATTTTTCTAGGTGCTAGAGAAATAGAGAATTTAATATTTATGTACGCACTGAAAAGGAATATATATATATATACATAGGCATCTGCTATTCCATATGTACAGGGAACTTGTCATGCCGGCAATGTAAAAGCCATTTGAGGTCTGTAGCTTCCTCTTCCCCACAGAAGGAAATGTGGCAGTGAGTCAAATTGATACAGGAATTTTAAATATGTGAGGTCACACAAAGTTAGAGAACATTATAAATATATATATATATTCTCTAGAGAGACTGCATCGCACAAATCGAAGTGCATGGACTATCCATGGGTTCTGGGAAAACATTTAAGTTGCCTGTGTGACTTCCCCTGCACACACCCTCATTCCTCTCCCCTTGGGAACCAGACAGTTTCCTGAAGACTATCAAATTACAAAGAGGAAGGAAGCGCTCATCTGCAGATTGGCGATGCTTACTTTTCCAGTTGTCTTTCAATCTCTATTCTTCACATTCTTTGTTTTCATGTTCAAATCTCCCATATTTGAGTGATAATAATTAAATTCCCAAGAATTCAAACAGATTTTTAGAGTCCAGCTTACTATTTATAAATGAGGAAAGTAAGACAAAAAGTAATTCAGTTGTTTTTTTTTTTTTTCCTAATGACATGGAACTTGAGCAGCAGAAACAGGACCGAAACCTGGCTCTTCCCTTATGCCACACTGCCTTTCTATGTGAGTGGAAAAATAAAAATGAAATTGCTCTTCTCTTGTCACTTGCTTTGAGTGACTGGTACATTTGGTTTTGTCTAATGTACCCTTTCTATCTGCCTGTCTTGGGCACAGTGCCTCATAATTTGGAAAAACATATAAGCCCCACATTTTTTTCTAAGGCATGTGAGAAACTGCCATTCGTTTTAAGCAACCTAGTGTCATAAAGTTAGTGTGGGCCTAATACCACTTAAAAGTTAAATGAGGGCTTTTGTGTAATTGTTTTGCCTTCTAATTCAAACTAAGCCACAGGTAATCAAGTCTTTTCCTAATACCCCAGGCTTTGTAGAAACTAAAACCTATCCGGTTTGTACAGGTATCACCAGCCTCAAACTGGAATTGTCTAATGCTCTGGTCAACTCAACCCATGGAGGGGGTTTACATCATCTAGTGTTTTTGCATAGTCCTTTGTCTGGGACTAATTCTGACACTTTGCCTGCCAGGGAAGATAAAAGTTAACAGCCTTTCTCCAGACTCTGTGATGGGAACTTGATCAAGGAGAATCAGAGGGTTTAGACTCAGTCTCAGTTTCTCCAACTTGTCTCTGGTTCTTTGGCGCAGTCTTCAAAGTAATAAACCTAACGGGAAACGAACTATTGCATATGGTCACGGCTGGCTGTATGTTGATTTGAAACACAATTCCTATCCTTTCATTATTATCTAGGGGAATCATATGTGGGGCTGAATATCTCTGCCAGCTGATTTGGGAATTTGGGAGTGGGGAGTGGAATGGGCACTTTCTTATTCTACAAGAATGACTGTTCTAGATTTTCTTGGTGCTGGCTTGGCATCAACTACCTCACACAGAAAGGGAAAAAATAATAATTATTATCATTTATTATCAAGTTACTACTCAATATCAGGGCTGGTTCCAGAATCTTCATCTATATTATCTAATCCTTCAAATCACTGTACAAGGTATGTTTTATTATCCTTTTTTTATAGATAAAGGGAGAGTCAAGTTCTTTCTATCACTCTCAGTCTAAAGTCCAAATCTCTTAACAGGAAGAGGCAGGAAAGTGTCATAGTTAAGAGTACAAACCCTACAGCTAGGCTGCCTGGCGTTAAATATCCGAACTGCCATTAGTAGTTATGCTAACTTAGGCGAGTTACTTAGGTTTTCTATGCTTCAGTTTCTGCATCTGTAAAATGGGGACCCAACTTTATATGATTGTTAGATGGTTAACCATTTAATAAATTTAAAGTGTGTAGAGCACTGCCCAGCACACTGTTTTAAAGTTAGCTAATATTCTTATTATTACAATTATTATTATTACTATTATTAGCAACAGAATGTTGAATGAGACTTATCTCAGATTTCAGCTAAAGCCTCAAAGTTGGGACCACTAGATGCTAAGATACCCCCACATTTTAAAGAAATTCTGCAGGACTTCCTGAAATGTAGCTCAGTGGTCCTGATTCCATCCCCCACATTACCACTTATATAGGGAAAAGATTAGACATTCAAGAATCTTTTGAAACAGAGAATGCATAGGACTAGTACATTTTCAGTAAGCAGTGCTGTGGTAAGTAGTGCTGTAGCATTTCTCCAAGACAAGTAAGAGGTCCTAAACACCACGAGTCCCCTGGAAGAAGAGACTGGGGCCTCATCCTGGAGGCTTGCTATGCTAGAACATCTGCAAGCTGCTCCACTGTTGCCCCTTAGGCAGAGTGTGGGAAGAGAATTCTGGGAAGTCTGGAGCCTGACAAACAGAAAGATTCATGCTTGCCTCTTACCAGGTAGATTCTTACAGAGCAGCCCTTTATAGTGCAGTGAGGAAAGAGAACTAGAATGGCCCAGCTTGCATATATACATATATAAAATACGTTTATATGTCTATGTATATATGTGTGTGTATATATTCATATACATTCATAAAAGTTATAAAGTAAAATAAGTCTTTTCGTTACTGAATGTATCTTAGTTCCCTGCCCAGCACGATTACTTCCCTGGGCCTTGTAGCTTAAGGTGCTGGGCAGGGCCAAAGGAGACATGTTTCTGGGCAAGAAAGCACAGAAGAACTCCATTCTAAAGTTGTGAGTGTGACCTCTGCAGCACAGGTGGCTATGTGGACAGCCTATATGGACAGCCTCAAGAGAGGACATCTTTTATGTGGAGGCTTAGTGAAAGGAAACAGACATTGTTGAAGAGTGGGGCTAAAAGAGCGATAATTATTGGCAAGCTCAGGCTGAGAGCTGACACATGCTTGTGGGCCTAAGGACGGCTTGGAAGACTGGCTCTACGACCAGGAGCTGAGTGGCTGTGGCTAGGAGTGAGCATATCACCCACAGGCACTATTTTGACAGAAGAGTGGACTGTAATTTAATACCCTTCCCAGTGTGGGGCAGAAAAGTGGAAGAGAGTCTCCACTATGAAAGAATCCTTCCTCTGGGAATCTAAGTGACACTGAGGTCCTTATAAAAATCAGAACTCTTAGTCTTAACATCTATATCAAGACCAGAGCCTTGGCTGTGATTACCCACACATGGAACTGAGCAGAAACAAATGGCCTGGAAGGCATTCTTCTAGTTATAAAGGAATTGTATTGCCAAAGAAGCCAGAAAACTGGCTGGCTAAAACCTGTGACAAACCAACCCAACTCCTGAATCCATAAATCGACATCAGCAAGAAGCAGTGTGTGAAAGCTGTGGTAGCCCCAAGAAGGAATACCATCCAAAGTCCGCTTTAGATGTGGCCATCGAAGACAATGGACAACAAATCCTCCCAGAGAGCTGAAGCCACGGTTCCCAAATGGGCTGACTGAAGGATTCATACCACCAGCAGGGTAGGAAGTTTCCACAATTCCTTTCCAACAGGACTTGATAAATCTTATAGATCGATGACAGCTGTGTTTCTCATTTTCCCTCTTCTAACAGAAGTTTTTACTTTTGTCATCTTGCTCCTGTCCTTCATTTTATATTGGGTGGATTACTTGTCTGTTAGTTTATAGCCACCATATCCCAAAGAGCCACATTGAGACCTAATGTAGAGAGTTAATCTCACCCAGAGAACCTTGATCTAGATGCAGGAACTGGAAGAGGCTTTGGGATCACATTCCTTGGGAGGCGAACGAGGGTTTCTCTGGAGAATTTGGCAAAACTTCATAAAAGGGATGGAACGTGGCTGAGACTATTAGCTGTCCTTCAAGATTTGTTTTTTTTGCATCTTCTCGATTTTAGGTGGGTACAAGGGCCCTCAGAATAAAAATATTTTGCCAGGCTCCCTTGTAGATGGGGTGGCTATGTGAACATAATAGGCTATGCCCAGAAGTGAAGAAAATAATTTCATATTCACTTCCCTCTTAATGGAGGGGGTATGTTCTTCCTCCTTCCTCCAATCTATTGCTTGGAATTTGGGCGTGGTGAGGAGCCATCCAGGACCATGAAGACAGAGAATACCCTGGAGTGGTGGAGCTATAAGACAGAAGCATCTGAGAACCTAGACTTTTGCAGAGCCCTGGATGGCCCACCTCTGGACTGTTACATGAGAAAGAATTTTCTATCTCCTTTCCGCAAAAGCTCTTTTGGGTCTCTGTTACACACAGCCAAATTTTTATATTTGAATTCATTTGCCTTTAATACAGTCTTTAATATATGCTGTCAGGGAGTTTATAATCCAGATCCTTCTTTTAATTCCTAAACATTAATATCAGTTCCTTATATATTTTTGGGCTGAACAACACAGAGCTAAAAACTTTATGAGCTCAGGGAACTTGCTTGTTTTGTTCACAGCTGTGTTCTTGGTACCCAGTAGGTTTTCAGTCTTTATTCCTTTGCTCTATGCTAGTAACCGGTCATTTAATTAACCAATTTAGAAACGTTTATTAAGTACCCAGTATATGTATGACTCTGGGCTGAGACACATAGATGCTAGAAATAATAGTAACTAGTGTTTCTTTCTTTCTTTGTTTCTTTGTTTGTTTCTTTTTCTTTCTCTCTCCCTCTCTTTCTCTTTTTCTTTCTTTTTTCTTTATTTCTTTCTCTTTTTCTCTCCTCTCTCTTTTTCTTTCTTTCTCTCTCTCTTTCTTTCCTTCTTTCTTTCTTTCTGTCTTTCCTCCCCTTCCCTCCCTTCCCCTCCCCTCCCTCCCTCTTTCCCTCCCTCCCTCCCTCCCTCCCTCCCTCCCTCCCTCCCTTCCTTCCTTCCTTCCTTCCTTCCTTCCTTCCTTCCTTCCTTCCTTCCTTCTTTCCTTCTTAGAGACAAAGTCTCACTCTTTCATTGTCCAGGCTGGAGTGCAAAGGAATGAACATGCAGCCTCCAACTCCAGGGCTCAAGCAATCCTCCTAAGTATCTGGGACTACAAACACACCACTCCTGGCTATAATTAGCATTTATTGAACACTTATTGATTACTAGGTATTATTCCAAGTGTTTTACATGTGCAGCACTTAATCCTTACCATAAACGTATGAAACCAGTTCTATTACCATCCCCATTGAACACAGGGAGAAACTGAGGTACTCAGAAGTTATCTGACTTTCCTAAACTCACACTGCTAATAAAGGGAGTTTCTGGGACTAGAATTCTGGCAGTTAGCCCCACATTTTCTGTTCCTAAGGACAGCACTCTACTGCCTTTCCAAAGGATATGGGGTATTATTCTCTTTGTTAAACAACTAATTTAATTTCAAAATACCGTAGTCTCTCCAATGCATGTTCTGGAAAATGAATGTTCATATTTTAATATTACAAAGGCCATTTTAGACAGAAAGTGTTATGCATTTGGCTAAAATAGCAATTATTTCGTCAGATAGTAAGATAATTTCCAAAAACACCAATTTTAATGCAATGGAATTAACTTTCTAATACACAGTTATTTTCTAACTTTACAAACTAGACAATTTAATTTCCTGGTCATTAAACAAAGAAAATTTTAGCATCTTTACTGATTATTTAATAACAATTTTGGGAAAAATAGAACAGCACATTTTTCTTTGTAATTACTACTTATATAAACTAAGCAAAGAACTGTCTTATTTGAAAATGATTGTCTAAAATGATATAAAAAGGTATGTACAAAATAATTGCTTTTCTTCAAAAACTAAAAATGATTTTTTTAAAAGATAAATGTAGTTACTCAAAGTACAATTCTCACATGAAATTCTTGACTGCTAAATTCAAAACAGCTTAAAAGCTAGATGGAATAAAAGAGAAATGGAAGACAGATTGCTTATATTCAGAATGCTTAAAACCAATTGGACAATTTCTGTGGTATAAATGCTCCCTCCCACCATAGCCAATTTCAAACTATGAAGATGAGGTGATTGAATGTAGAGACGTGTCACAGTCTGATCTGCAGAGCTCATAGGAGCAGGCCCAGCACACCACTGGCTCCCAAGTCAGCCAATCACATTCCAGATACCAACACATTTCAAGTGCCTTCTCTGTGTCTTGGGTTGTTCTGGACACTTTGGCAGGCACTACAATACAAATAGAATGTTCCCAGGAGTATATGAGTAAGGATGTCTTGTGCAAGTTTAGAGAAGCAACTCTTTTTTTTTTTTTTTTTGAGACGGAGTCTTGCTCTGTTGCCCAGACTGGAGTGCAGTGGCATGATCTCAGCTCATTGTAACCTCCGCCTCCTGGGTTCAAGCAGTTCTCCTGCCTCAGCCTCCCAAGTAGCTGGGATTACAGGCACTCGCCATCATGTGTGGCTATTTTTTTTTTTTTTTAGTAGAGATGGGGGTTTCACCATGTTGGCCAGGCTGGTCTTGAACTCCTGACCTCAGATGATCCACCCGCCTTGGCCTCTCAAAGTGTTGGGATTACAGGCATGAGCCACTGCACCAGGCCTGGAAAAGCAACTCTTGAGCAGAGGGACTACAGAAAAAACATAAAGCAGTTTTGGCTTTGGAGGAATTTAGGAAGGCAAGATGAGGATACACAAATCACTGCAAGTGCCTATTGCATGAGTATTAATTAGCAGTGCCAATAGCATATTTTAGGTGCTCAATAACATACATTATAGTCCAATATGAACATGTTGTCCATCCTGCATAGAAAAGCCAAATAGTTTTCAAAAGCACGGTTTGTACTTTTAGATTTTGTAAGCATCTATTTTAATTAATTTAGTCTGTTTGTCCTTGCATTGTCAGAACTCAAGTTATTCTTTGTTTCCTCTATCTCCTTCTACTCCAAAGGTAGCAAAATCAGTTAGAAGAAACTTCCTGATTTCTCTCTCAGAAATGAAATCTAGATCCATGTGGACTGGGCTTGAGAGTTAACATCTGAGTGCATCCTCACACGTTATAGTTATATATTCCTTCAGTGTGAGAACTGAGGTGGAGACTACTGAGAGACTCCGGACTGCATCTGTGATTTGCAAAATGTTTTCAGATATCATTCAACATTATATTGAATTCATGTGTAGAAGTAAATACGACACTTAGTTTATCGATGCAGTTTTTGTGTGTGAGGCAAATGGAAAGGAGTAGTACATCATAGCTATCCCCATCTACAAGGAATCCTGACATTTCACCAAATCTCTTCTTGCTGCACTTTTTTTATTGGTTTTTTTTTTTTTTTTTTAACAGTTTTCCTTCTGATTCTATAGAAAGGTGCTGATGAGAAGAAACAACAGCAGCAGCAACAACTTCCCTTCTTTATTATAACAAAACTCAGAACCTCTGTCCCTGACTTTTCAGTTGGGCTGCTGTGCCAAAGGAGCTAATGGGCTCAATAAATATACCCTTTGAAACTATCTCCCTGTTTTAATGGAGGGGAGTGTTCAGTTCTACTGGAAACTGTTGGCCCTGGCAATAGTCCATCTTATACTTTGGAAATGCAATAGTACTCTAAGTGAGAGACTCACAGAGGAAGAGGGAAAGCCAGAGAGAAAGGCTAGAAGCTGTTTGATCAGCTGCCTCTTTCCACCTGAGGTTTTCCTTCCAAAGTGAACCTTGGAGATTTATAGATATTTCACTTCAAGATAGCCACCACCACCACTACCGCCACACTACCCAATCACTAGGGGCCTTCAGCTGTTTTTTTTCGTTTGGTAGACAGGTGAACAAATTCCTTTTCTTTTCTACTCATTAAAGACAATATCAAACATTTTCTTAAAGTTCTTGCATAGTAACCTTTTGCCTACACCAATAAAAAATCTACTAGAAAATTTAAAACGTACCACAACATGAGTTTTTCAGTACTGATCTCTTATCAAAATGTACTTAACATCAGTTTCACATTATAGTTTGTTTGGAACACCTAATGGGACACTTGGATTTTAGTTTCTTTCCTTTGCTTGTGTTTACCAGCAGTTTGGACATCAATCTTACACACACCAGTATGGTAGCGAGCTTCTGGTTATCCCCACTGCACGCAGATTTGGTGAAATCCTTCCTCTGCCAATAGCAGCTTTCAGTTTTCCTGTTCTCTGCATGTGAGCTCTCTGGTGGTTGCCTTCATACCAGGTTTCCCTGCCCTTTTGCCTTCTATTTCCTCAAGGCTCTGTGAGAGCTCCTGCTCCCTGAATGCAGAAGGAATTTCTGGATTTTTTTTTTCAAATATTTCTCTCCTGGGCTTAGGAGGGAAACAATTCTCTGCTCAGCGTGGACTTAGTCCACTCAGCCTATCCCAGGGATCTTTACTTGGCACTCCCCCTGCAAGTCCCTTTCACCTCTTCCACCTCCTGCAAATAATTCTTCTTGTCATTGACTGTTTCTCTGTACTATTAAAGATGTCTGTGGTCTGTTCAACAACTTTATGTCCAGGCTGGTTCTCTTCTTGAGTCAAGCCAATTTAGCCCCTGGGACTGGTTTCTCTATCATCTCCGTGGTCTTAAAGGCTGCCATCATCACCAGAATCCTGTTTTTTTTCTTATCACTGCTGCTCCAGGATTGACTGAATATAATCAAGATATCTCAAAGGTCTGCACCCCAGGGAATCTTCCACTTCATCATCTTTTTAGCTTCTGTGTCCAATTCATTTTTTGACCTTCTTAGCTAAGGTTATCAGCTTCATTAATCACTCCAGTACTCTAATCATTGCCTTATTTGTGTTTTTTTCCTTCTTTTTTCAGCAGGAAGAAAATTTAAAATTTAAAATAGAGTGCATACAGTAATGACAGTATATACAGTATATACAGTAATGACAGTATATACAGTATATACAGTAGTAGGTGTGACTTTCCCAATGGGAAAAATATTTGCAACTTTCAACACATTATATTTCACATTTTTGGTGGTACTTTGCAAGAGACTGATCTAATCTGATAACAGAGTAAGTGGCTGGATCTGAATGTAAATCTGGATGCATTTATGTAGAGGAAGTAATGAGAACTATATGAGCAAGGAGTTCATTAGTGCAAATATAAAATTTTAAAAAGTGAGTTAGTGTTAAATTATACAATAATTTCTGGCTTAGATAACTTCCATTGTAGTTTATACCACTTCAATGTTTACTGTTATAATATTTATAGGGTGATAAAGTACATTATTCTCATTTAGAACAAACTTCATAGTGAAAAGTAAATAGACTTTTAAGTCAAACAGACCTAGATTAAAAGTCAGTTCTATTTTTTGCGAGATGTATGCACACATATAGGTTAACTTCATTCTTCTCAGTCTCCATTTCTTATCTGTAAATAGGGGTAATACTAATACCTGTATTGAAGTTGCTCTTGCACCGTTTAGATTAAAGTACATTAAGTGATAAAACACATGTACAATGCCTAGGATAGTACCTCATACTTAGTGACATTAAACAAATAGTAGGTACCATATTAAAAGATAACTAATGATTTAAATATGGGTGGGACACCTCTACGTGTATATTTGCCAAGACTTTTTGTTTCTCTAATCCCTTACTTTTGAGTAATTTTCAGTCTACTGAGTGCTAAGATTCAGACTTGATATTTTTATAGCATATTAACTAGGTATATTTTCTTTTGGAGGAATTTGCTCCTTTCTAAATATGGGTATTGAGTTAGAGTTTAGATACAAATTTTGATTAATAAAATTACTAATAATTTATGCTTTTGTTTAATAGTTATTAGGGATAATATATGACCAGAGAAAATTTCTTCATTTTCCTGAAAATTGAAGAATTGATTGACAAAATTAAGAGGAAACTTGACCCCTACTTAGAAGCCTGATATCTCCTTCTAAAGTACAAATCAATAATTATTTAGTAAGTGGGGTGTATTAGTCCATTTTCACACTGCTGATAAAGACATACCCGAGATTGAGTAAATTATAAAGAAAAAGAGGTTTAATGGACTCACAGTTCCATGTGGCTGGGAAGGTCTCACAATCATGGTGGAAGGTGAAAGACATGTTTTATATGGCAGCAGGCAAGAGAGAGAACGAGAGCCAAGCAAAAGGGGAAACCCCTTATAAAAACATCAGATCTCGTGAGACTTATTCACTACCAGGAGAACAGTCTGGAAGAAACTCCTTCCATGATTCAAGTATCCCCCACCAGGGGTCCCTCCCACAACATGTGGGAATTATGGGAGCTAAAATTCAAGATGAGATTTGGGTGGGGGCACAGCCAAACCATATCATGGGGGTAAATATACACAAATAATTTGAGTAATTAAGTTCCCAAGTTGAGTGGCAAGATGGTAGAAGAAAAAGAAAGGAAATAAAGTAGTACTTTAAAATGGTAGGTATTAATTAATTTTTCCTTACCTAAATATTTCAAAATGGTTGTCTACATTGGAAACATTCTTTAAAAATGTTCCTTTAGCTATAAACTTAGTAAAGGAAGAGTCCAAAGTATTTTTCCTATCCTTGTAAGTATGTATTCTCCCATTAGCTAAGAACAAGAGATAATTTATGCTGGGTGAAGAAGATACAGATTTGATTTGCTAAGGTTTATGTATTTCTTGGGAGATGAGAAGACTGGTTAAAATTTTAGTAGAATGATAAACATACTAAACTCCTTTTTAATGGCAGTTATTTCCAGTTTCTATAGCCTAATTTTGTCAGTTACTGTATTTTAGCATAATAGGGTCTTGCTTATGCCACAAAAAAGCATTATACATGGAGCCATGTTATAGCAATTTCCTTCTGGTGCTTACAATAACTGAATCTCTTTGGATGGGATCCAAGAATAAAAGCTCGCTATTCCAAACTTCACACCAGGGTGGGTAGTGTTATAATGAGACTCTGGTGTGCATGCGATGTTTTTCTTTGTTGACAGTTTTTGAGAAGATCTTGATCTCCTGGTGAGTAAATTTACCAAACCACTCACCCTTTAAAAAATTCAGAATTTATTTCTTGCCTCAGAGGGTAATTTCTGGCCCCAAAGGTAATTTTTTTAGAGGATTATTTGCAAGTTCAATTAACTTTCTTCTTTCCTGCTCCATCCCATGCCAATGCAAGAAATAGAGAACTTTAAGGTTTTAGGATTAGTAGTTCATTATACCTGCTGGAACATGTAATGTATAGTGATGTTGGTACTATCATTTCCATTTTTAAGGAAGGAAGGTAAGGTAGGAACTCAGAAAGATAAACAGGTGGGCAAAGTGTTGTCACCTCAAGTCATATCTTGTGTTAATTGCCGTAGTAGCTTTTCTTGGACAAGCTATTGCTCAATGTTTGATGTTGTTAGGTTATTTCATTTAAATTTTATTTATACCTAAAATAAGCCACAGGGTCATTGTTTTTATTTTTGCATTTTATTAAAAAAATTACCTATTAATTCTAATGGCTTCTCAGTACATTGTACTCCTCTAAAATTGTTCACATTGGATCAGAATTCTAGTTGTTTTTTTTTTCTGTCCTAAAACAGTGATGTGAACATGTCAAATGACTTAGTGGTTCTTCTGGCATCAGTAACTGAAAAATTTGAATGCTTATCTGAACTTTATCTGAACTATCTTGAGTTTTCTTGGGTCTATAAAATTGGAACTGAAATCTCATGGAAACTGGCTTTCTCCAGAAATTTTTGGTGAGCCAGAAATACTGTGAGAGCAGCCTTTCCCGTGGTGTTTTGGCATTTTTACTTTGGCCCCAGACAGAACCAGGAAGTTCAGAGGTGAATGAGGATGAAAAATAATGAAATGGTAAGTGATCTTTTTTTTTTCTTCTTCAGAAAGATTCAATTCAGAATTCTTTTAAGAAAATGTTGAGTCAGTCTTAACAACTACAGACCTCATACTATGCATTAAGAGAGATTTGGGACGCCATGAGTAATTCAGCCCCTCTAGTAAAGAAGAAGAAAATTAAAAATTACCATTTCCTCTCATGTTTCACACTATTTACTAAAACATTTTTGTGGAACTGCAGATTCTATAAAATTATTGGTCAGTTATATTAGCGTATATTCCTTGTCTGTAGTGATAGCATGGCAGATACTTTAATGAACTAATATCAACTTTCCTTAGTATCCCTTAATTCAAATTTCTACCACCAGGCAGAGTACATTTCTATAGATTCTCATATTTGGAGGTTTAGAATCTATTATTAGAGTTTACAAGAGTTTTTAGCATATGGATTTTCACAGATTGTCCTGGAATCCAAGTTTCTATTTGTAAGCCAAATCATCTAGAAGGTACATTAGTTATTTTCCCAGAAGCATCCTGAAGAAGAGGGGCTTTCTTGTTTATTAAGACAGTAGTTGTCAAATCTTGGTCTACCTATGGCACTTTTAAAAAGAGACATACTGGCCCGCACCCAGTCTACTAAGTCAGAATCAGTGAGGGCTATAGCCTATTGGGCTATATTTTTATTAAGCTCCATTGGTGATTTTTATGTGCAGCAAAGTTCTCATCAGGTATCACTGATTTAAATGGTCACTTACATGTCATAAGCTTTTCACCAGGTTGTAAAAGACAATTCAAAAGACACTTCTCAAAAGAAGACATTTATGCAGCCAAAAGACACATGAAAAAAATGCTCATCATCACTGGCCATCAGGGAAATGCAAATCAAAACCACAATGAGATACCATCTCACACCAGTTAGAATGGCTATCATTAAAAAGTCAGGAAACAACAGGTGCTGGAGAGGATGTGGAGAAATAGGAACACTTTTACACTGTTGGTGGGACTGTAAACTAGTTCAACCATTGTGGAAGTCAGTGCGGTGATTCCTCAGGGATCTGGAACTAGAAATACCATTTGACCCAGCCATCCCATTACTGGGTATATACCCAAAGAACTATAAATCATGCTGCTATAAAGACACATGCATACGTATGTTTATTGTGGCACTATTCACAATAGCAAAGACTTGGAACCAACCCAAATGTCCAACAATGATAGACTGGATTAAGAAAATGTGGCACATATACACCATGGAATACCATGCAGCCATAAAAAATGATGAGTTCATGTCCTTTGTAGGGACATGGATGAAATTGGAAATCATCATTCTCAGTAAACTATCGCAAGGACAAAAAACCAAACACTGCATGTTCTCACTCATAGGTGGGAATTGAACAGTGAGAACACATGGACACAGGAATGGGAACATCACACTCTGGGGACTGTTGTGGGGTGGGGGGAGGGAGGAGGGATAGCATTAGGAGATATACCTAATGCTAAATGACGAGTTAATGGATGCAGCACCCCAGCATGGCACATGTATACATATGTAACTAACCTGCACATTGTGCACATGTACTCTAAAACTTAAAGTATAATAATAATAAAAAAAGAAGAAAAATATACAAAAAAATGGCAACTTATATTTATATAAGCTTTGATTACTTCATCTCATACATTATTCTCTGCAATCCTTCTCAAAAACTGTGCATAGAGGCTATCACTTTCATCCTCATTTTATGGTGGAAGGGACTGAGACTCAGAGTTTCAATCATTTGCCCAGTTATGAAGTGATAGAGTTGAAACACAAATCCTGCTTTTCTGTCTTGAAGCTCTTGACTTGTAACATATAACACTGACGTACTGCAAGCAGGAAAAGGAAGAACATTCATTCCTACTTTAAAAAAATGATTTAAAAAGAACTTACAGTGAATAACATTATAAACAACAATAACAACAAGTATTTGACAGACACATATTCCTGTAGCAGTCTGTTCTCGCACTGCTATAAAGAAATATGTGAGACTGGGTAATTCATAAAGAAAAGAGATTTAATTGGCTCATGGTTTCACAGGTTGTATAGGAAACATGGCAGCAGCTGCTTCTGGGAGGCCTCAGGGAGATTTTACTCATGGCGGAAGGCAAAGTGGGAGTAGACATCTTACGTGGCAGGAACAGGATGAAGTGAAAAAGCGGGGAGGTGTCACACGCTTTTAAACAACCAGATCTCACCATATCTCACTCACTCACTGTCAGGAGAACAGCACCGAGGGAATGGTGCTCAACTATTCATGAAGGACCCACCCTCGTAATCCAATCACCTCTTACCACACCCCACCTCCAACATTGGGGATTACAATTTGACATGAGATTTGGATGGGGACACAGATTCAAACCATATCAATTTCTAAATGCCTTAATTATCTGGAAAGACAGAAGAGTAATTTGAGGATACTGTCCACAGATAGCTTCTGTCAGATACCTATTCCAATTTGTGGGTGTTCAGTGAATGCTTGGTGACAGACTATTGATGTGAAGTTTTTGTTCTCTTTGCAAACCTTTGCAAGTCGTAGCAATTAGAGTATTAATTGCCATTGCTGAGAAGTATTCATCTGCCTTGCTAGCCATTCAATTAATTCCATGTTCATTTTTGCATTAGAGGCTTGGAAGACCAAAACTTATAAATATTTACGTTACAAAATAAATATTTATAAATTATAATAAATAACAAATATAAATATATTATATTCCTGTAGTGCTCTAAAAATCCAAAGTTTATGAGCATCTAAAGAGTTTCAAAAGTTTTGATGAAATTAATGCCCCCCAAAGAGTCTTACTTCATTGTTTTTGCTGGCCATATTTTAAAAGCCATTCCCTTCCAGTGAACTAAAGGACTGGACTTTGAATAAATGATGGCCTTTGGATCAGTCTGTCCGCTCTGTGATTTGTACAGGATTGGCATCTATTGCCCTGGCCTTCATCTCAGACATTCATTTGGAATGCAGTCACATAGGATAGGGCAGGGGCAGGGAGCATGCCGGGGCAGGGAAGAATGATTTTCAAGCTGTAAGATAGCCCCCTGAAAAAGTTGATCCTGAGATGAAAAAAGTAAGATTTGGCTGTGATTAAAGTAGAAGTGTGTAAGATTACTGAAAAAGCGTATAATGGTTTCAACAAACTACCCTTAGGCAGGTTTAGTGAGTGTAGTTGGCATTCATACAAAAGATAACCTAACCTGACACTAACCCTGCTAGTAGTTCAGGGATAATATTTTCACTAGGATGAACTGCTCTTGAACTGTTTCTGTAATTTATTTGGTGCAAACAGGCTTTCCCTTCAACATCAGACATGCATGTCTTATGGCCACCCATTTGTTTATTGTAAAAACATATTTATTATAGCCAATGCAAGCAAAACCCTCCTTTCCAGTGGTGTTTTAATTCCCCTGAAGCCTTCTCATACTGTGTACCACAGCCCTGATGATGAAGTATACGCAAGCTTGTTCCAAACCATGTCCCATGTTTTCTTTGGCCTTACCTTCAAAAATCTATTGCTAAAGAGCAACTCCTAGTGTTTTATGACCTTTTTACCATGATGGTGCTTATCCTTTGGACTTGAAATGATTTTCCTTCTCTTGATGAAAATGTCAAGTGTGCCTGAGAACCTGGCCAGAAAGTGGACATTGGGTTACGTAGTGAGAATGGAGAACAGCTGCCTGGATATAATAGAATAAGTATGTTTTAGAAAATCACAGGAGTACAGTAAAGTAAGGAGTATAAAGTAAGGAGTATGTAAGGAGTAAGTAAGGAGTATAAAGGAAGGAGTATAAAGTAAGGAGTATAAAGGAAGGAGTATGTTTTAGAAAATCACAGGAGTATAGTAAAGTAAGGAGTATAGGAGTATCAGTTGGTAGAATCTATGTAAAGAACTACAATGTATAATCAGTTTCATCATCACTGTTACTAATATTTATCCTCCATGAAGTCATAAATACTTAGCCTTTGGACTGATCCTGAAAGTAAAGGAGACTTTGGATGGTTCTAGAGATGATGGTCCCTATGGACATTAATTCATTCCCAAAATATTTTCTTGAGTAGCTGCTATGCACCAGGCAGTAAACAAGAAAGAAAAAAGAAGTATAATTTTCTTCACCAAATCCGCTTATTTGTTTTCCGTCTGTGACTACCCAATCCCCAATTTGTGTTAGTGAAACAACTAGTTTTGGGTTCCTTCCCAGTCTTTTGAATGCCAACCATCTTTTTGGTGCCAAAAGAGTCCAAAGACCTAATGAGCATTTTAGATCTCATTTATGAGCATGATAAGAAAAGGAAATGAGGAATGATTCATCTGTTCATCTGGCCAAGGAACATCTTAGAGTTGAAGTGATTCTACGGAAGAATTAACACTAGATTGTTGCTAGCACAGGTGGCACCTTTTTGTAAATGGGAAAAAAGTGCCCCTTCCTCATGACTTTATTTCAGTAGAGAATATTGCCATAATAAATATGCAAATCCATGACATCTATGATGTGAATGTCATTCTTAGATATTTTTCCTTGTACAGTGTATAACCATGTGCAGTGATTCTATAAGGCAGCTTTATCAGCCAGTTTGGAGGGAATGTAAACAAATTGAGGCAATACATCAACATTAATATGTATTCTCCTAACAAGGAACATCTGCTGATAGTATTCTGTCACAAAACATTTCCAATAAATCTCTCCTTTTATACAGTTCTCTCCCAAGCACATATCTAGCTGGGTACTTGGGTTTATCTCTAGTATTTAAACAAAAGCTATTTTTTACTACCCTTTATCACTAATCACCCTTTCCTCTCTTTGTAAATTTCCCTACAATTTTTTCTCAATTGAATGCTCTGCTTCTGTGATTAGTCTAATTTAATTTTGCATCACAATTCCAAAGCTCTCTTACTCAAAATCAAGTGGATGAGAAGTCCATGAATTACCTGCCCACAAAGCACTAAATCACTGAACTACATATCTAAACAGTGTTTGTGTCATGGGAATCTAGAGTCACAAAATGTCAGAAAAAAAAATAAAAATTTATTTTCCTGCTTATATCCTAAATATACTTTCTATTACATTTGCCACATGTTTACAAGGCAGAAAGTAAATGCAAAGTAAGTTAGTGAGGCCCCATCTTCTTTCCTAGCTTCAACATCTGGTGGCAAGAAAACTCCATATCTAAAACTTTAGGTTGGTTTTATACTCAGGCACCCACCTCGTGGAATTTGGTAAGATAAAACTGAGTTCGTTTCTTAGAATTTGGTTAATTTCTAAGAACACGTTTTGTATAATAAGACCATGTTTATTCCAACCCAAGACCTATCTAGAATATTCTAATGCATGCAGTGGTACTTACTAAATACATGAATCCTTCAACTATCTGGAGACATTTGCATAGTGTTCCATAGTACCTATCAGTTAGCACAGTCATTTGGGGAGAACTGAGGGACAAAACTAGCAATGGTTCTCGTAAAACTTTATCCATAGAAGTTAGGATTTGGAAAGTCTGGCTTGTTTATCTATTAACCATTAATTGGTTAGTTCTGTAATATCATGAGACCAATTGCCATCCTTCACTTCTTTGTTTGCTATCTTTTCACTAGTCCCCATTGATTTCTACTTTAAAAATCATACTTTAGTCTGTAATATGGTTATTCCAACCCATATCGTGGGATACTGCTACTTATCAAAGGCTATTATACATTAAATATATCTGTCTTCAGTTATTTGGACAAAATAAATGTATGTATGTGTACAGTAGGGATTAAGAGATTCACTCCAAAAACCCTAAGAGCATCTGTAAAAGAAGCTTAAGGGCTGCAAGGGGTTAAGACAAGGAACCCAGCAGGAGAGACTCATGGAATTGTGTTCTTATTTCAATCAGAAGAATTTTTCTTTTATGCGTCTAATAACTTGGATTTACTTATAAGATTTCTATTAAGAAAAGATTCAACAACTGCCATGAATTTGAAAGCCATTTGCTTAGGAAATGCTTTGCCATATAATCCTTAAGTAATTACCGTATAGCTTCCTTATTCTAACCTTTGCCTCCAACTAAATTCTTACCTCTTCAAGGCAGGCATTGTGTCATAATCAACTCTCCAGCTGGAGCAATGAGTCTGAAACAAGTACACAATAAAATTATTAAAATAATTGTATAATTGTATTTATATACACTGAAAATAAGCCAACCATTTTTAATACGGTTTCTAGGGATATTAGTTAGATTTAGACTGATTAAGAGTGGCCTGAAAAGAATAAGGAAATCACAATTGTAAAATAGATAATTCTCAAGGAACAATGATTTTAAAATGCTTTAGTGAACGCTGGAGAAAGGACACCCTATTCAATAAATAGTGCTGGGAAAATTGGATAGCCATATGTAGAAGAATGAAACTAGAGTCTTATCTCTCTCACCACATACAAAAAATTAACTTAAGAAGGATTAAAGACTTAAATGTAAGACTGGAAACTGTAAAAATTCTAGAAGAAAATCTAGTAAAAACTTGTGGACACTGGACTAGACAAAAAAATGTATGATGAAGACCCCAAAGCAATAGCAACAAAAAAAAAATAGACAAATGGGACCTAGTTAAACAAAAAAGTTACTGCACAGCAAAGGAAATAATCAACAGACTAAACAACCTACAGAATTGGAAAAAATATATTCAAACTATACATCTGACAAAGAACTAATAACACAAGGAACTCAACTCCACAAGAAAAAACACAAACAACCCCCGTTAAAAACTGGGCAAAGGACATGAACAGACATTTCTTGAAAGAGGAAATACAAGCAGCCAACAAACACATGAAAAAATGCTCAACATCACTAATCATCAGAGAAATGCAAATTAAAACCACAATGAGATATCATCTTCCACCAGTCAGAAAGGCTATTATTAAAAAGTCAAAAAGCAACAGATGTTGGCCTGGATGCAGAGAAAAAAGAACACTTATACACTGTTAGTGGGAATATAAATTAGTTAAATCTCTATGGAAAACAGTGATTTCTCAACGAACTAAAAATAGAACTATCATTGCACCTAGCAATCCCACGGTTGGGTATCTACCCAAAGGAAAATGAATCACATGTAAAACAGACACCTGCACTCATGTTCATCACAGCACTGTCCACAAGAGCAAAGTTATGGAATCAACTTAAGTATCCATCAATGGTTGACTGGATAAAGAAAATGTGGTACCTAATACACCATGAAATACTACTCAGCAATAAAAAATAATGAAATCATATCCTTTGCAGCAACAAGAATGGAGCTAGAGGCCGTTATCCTAAGTGAACACAGAAACAGAAAACCAAATACTGCATATTTTCACTTGTAATTGTGAACTAAACAGTGAGTACACATGGACATAATGATGGAAATAATAGACACTGGGGACTCTGAAAGAGAGGAGGATGGGAGGTGGCCAAGGATTGAAAAACTACCTATTGGGTACAATGTTCACTATTTGGGTGATGGGTGCACTACAAGCCCAATCCCCACCAGTATGCAATATACCCATGTAACAAACGTGTGTGTACTCCTTGAATC
Organism: Homo sapiens; assembly: GCF_000001405.40. Classification (NCBI taxonomy): domain Eukaryota; kingdom Metazoa; phylum Chordata; class Mammalia; order Primates; family Hominidae; genus Homo; species Homo sapiens. The sequence continues at coordinate 2,183 of NW_003315938.1, read as the reverse complement.
TAAAAGAAAATAAAATTTAAAAAATAAAAAGCTTTAATGAATGCCTGGAATGGCTCCATGGCACTGTCTTAAAGTGGCATTTCATGTTCTGAAGCAGTTGATGACTCTAACGGCAGTGATATATTGTCTCTGTGGGTGAGGGTGAAAAAATAGTTTTGGGATGTGTATTTATCTGTACATGTGCAGTCTGAGTGCAAATGTGTTGTTATCAGACTCTTTTGTGGTATTCCTGTGACCTGGGCCAAGTTACTATGTACAAAAACAAACCACATTGGTTTCCAGTTGCCCTCAAAAATCAGAGAAGGGTAAGAGAGAATTGGTGCAGCTGTGGCAACAACCTTATTACAACCTTTTTGTGAGAGAATAAGGGTATCTAATGAAAAAATACCTGGGAAGTTTGAGTACAAAATAATTAGAAGCTATGAATATCTGGGTATGGGATTTTTCATTTAGTAGGAAATGTGTAGTTGGAAACTTTCCGTGTGTGCATTTGTTGATTAGTTATTTTTTCTTCAAAATCTGGGTATAAATTTAAATCTCTCATTTTTACTAGTTTAACTAGAATTATTGAGTTCTAGCTTTAATGTTACCTTGGGCCAATATGCTTTAATCATCTGGGGACCTAGCATTCAATCCTTTCCAGCACAGATTACTTGATGGAGAATATCTAAGTGTTCTTGGGAAGCATTAATCACACCCCCATGGCCTCCCATGAAAAATTTGCTAGAAGCCCAAACCAATATTTAGACTATTGACATTAATTCTGTCCCTCTCCCTTTCTAAGGTGGTGTAGTGTAACTTTTAAGATCAAGTTTTTATACAAGCAAAAACATTTTCAGATTTCCAATAATTTTATCTTTCATTTTATGCCAAAGATATAAATTTACATCCAGCATTTGCTACAATCACATGGCCCTCCACAGCTATGCAAGCAAGCAGCCAGCAGAAACAGGAAGTTTAATAAAACCCTATACTTCTATAAAATGTAGTGTGATGTGTCGTGAACTTGGACCTCCCCCTACAAAACTGATAAACATTTTCTTTTTAAAAGTTGCCTATTATCCTAAGTATATTTAATTCCTTAAGTGACTAAGGGAAAAGACACTTCCAATAGTTGCATTCTTTAGTATGAAAATATATGTGGTATTTTTTCATCATTAGCTGATGTGCTATTTCAAAATAATACCTCTTTATATCAGCTTACCAATTTCAAATACAGCATAACTTCTATATAATGATCTTTATAGTAATGTGTATATATTGGAATGAATTGACATTTCATCTGCACATTATACATTATCATGTTTTTGCTTGTCATAGAGAAAAAATCTTTTCACAATTTTCATTGTGACATTTTATTGAACATATAAATATAAAATTTTCTTACCTATAGTTCTATATTAAGAAGTGATAATTTAGAAAACTAATATGATCCTGAAATATGTGCTAGAGGTTGTAGGCAAGGCTGTAAGCTGCTCTTTATGTTTTGTAAAGACTGTGCCCTTACTTCTAAAATTTAATTGAGCAGGATTGAAAATAAGTTGTTGATAGTCATAAAGAAATAAATATAACTAAAGAGTTAGAAATGAGAGCAGTGAAGAAATTAAGAGAGTATTTAAAGTTATTGATCATAGAAGTCATTGTTAAAATTTGAATACATGATTTGCAGTTTTAAAATAGGTGTAATCAAGATGTTTTTTCCTCTCCTCTTAGAAATCACCCAAATCAATAAGAACAAGAAACAAAACCTAAAGCTAGAACTTAGTTCTATGACAGGAAGAGGGCCCTCTAACTCTGAATCCTAGCAAAGGAAGAAGGCTGCCAGATCTTCTGAAGTAAAACAGGGACACAGGCAGATGCTGAGAGAAGACTCCAGAGGGTACAGATCTCATTCAAGCCTGGCGAAGCCCAGCTCTTCTTTATCTGGGTCAATATTACTTATGTTAGAAGTATAGTCTAATAGCAAGAGCTTCCCTGGACCGAGTTTGGTAAAAAGAAGAAGGGGAAGATAAGGCCGAATGAGGAAATACAAACACAAAGATAAGTCATATTACCAGGAAGCAGTCTACTGGTACAACAGGTTAGAGGGGAAAGCAGGCATTGAGAGAAGCCCTGAAATATCAACTTCTGTTAGCTAGGGAGAAGTAACCCTGTACTCACACACTAGTATCCCAAGGAGAATT